>NC_000002.12:93296107-93465033 GCF_000001405.40 Homo sapiens | reverse complement strand
TATGTCTAGAGTTTATATGAAGACAATCCCGTTTCCAACGAAATCCTGAAAGCTATCCAAATATCCTCTTGCAGATATTACAAAAAGAGTGTTTCAAAACTGCTCTATCAAAAGAAAGCTTCAACACTGTTAGTTGAGGGCGCCCATCACAAATAAGTTTCGGAGAATGCTTAGCTGTCTGCTTTTTATATGTAATCCCGTTTCCAACGAAATCCTCAAAGCTAGACAAATATACACTTGCAGATTCCACAAAAAGAGTGTTTCAAAACTGCTGTATCAAAAGAAAGCTTCAACACTGTTAGTTGAGGGCGCACATCACAAATAAGTTTCTGAGAATGCTTCTGTCTAGTTTTCAGGGGAAGATATTTCCTTTTTCACCATAGGCCTGAAAGCGCTCCAAATGTCCACATCCAGATACTACAAAAAGAGTGTTTCAAACCTGCTCTATGAAAGGGACTGTTCAACACTGTGACTTCAATTGAAACATCCCAATGAAGCTTCTGAGAATGCTTCTGCCTAGAGTTTATATGAAGACAATCCCGTTTCCAACGAAATCCTCAAAGCTATCCAAATATCCTCTTGCAGATATTACAAAAAGAGTGTTTCAAAACTGCTCTATCAAAAGAAAGCTTCAACACTGTTAGTTGAGGGCGCACATCACAAATAAGTTTCTGAGAATGCTTCTGTCTAGTTTTCAGGGGAAGATATTTCCTTTTTCACCATAGGCCTGAAAGCGCTCCAAATGTCCACATCCAGATATTACAAAAAGACTGTTTCAAACCTGCTCTATGAAAGGGACTGTTCAACTCTGTGACTTGAATGCAAACATCACAAAGAAGATTCTGGGAATGCTGCTGTATGCTTTTTATATGTAATCCCGTTTCCAACGAAATCCTCAAAGCTAGACAAATATCCACTTGCAGATTCAACAAAAAGAGTGTTTCAAAACTGCTCTCTCAAAGGAAAGGTTCAACTCTGTTAGCTGAGTAGATACATCATGAAACAGTTTCTGACATTGCTTCTATCTAGCTTTTATTGGAAGATATTTCCTTTATCACCGTATTCCTGAGAGCGCTCGAAATGTCCACTTCCAGATACTACAAAAAGAGTGTTTCAAACCTGTTCTACGAAAGGAACTGTTCAACACTGTGACTTCAATTGAAACATCCCGATGAAGCTTCTGAGAATGCTTCTGTCTAGAGTTTATATGAAGACAATCCCGTTTCCAACGAAATCCTCAAAGCTATCCAAATATCCTCTTGCAGATATTACAAAAAGAGTGTTTCAAAACTGCTCTATCAAAAGAAAGGTTCAACACTGTTAGTTGAGGGCGCACATCACAAATAAGTTTACTGAGAATGCTGCTGTCTGCTTTTTATATGTAATCCCGTTTCCAACGAAATCCTCAAAGCTAGACAAATATCCACGTGCAGATTCCACAAAAAGAGTGTTTCAAAACTGCTCTATCAAGAGAAAGCTTCAACACTGTTAGTTGAGGGCGCACATCACAAATAAGTTTCTGAGAATGCTTCTGTCTAGTTTTCAGGGGAAGATATTTCCTTTTTCACCATAGGCCTGAAAGCGCTCCAAATGTCCACATCCAGATACTACAAAAAGAGTGTTTCAAACCTGCTCTATGAAAGGGACTGTTCAACACTGTGACTTCAATTGAAACATCCCAATGAAGCTTCTGAGAATGCTTCTGTCTAGAGTTTACATGAAGACAATACCGTTTCCAACGAAATCCTCAAAGCTATCCAAATATCCTCTTGCAGATATTACAAAAAGAGTGTTTCAAAACTGCTCTATCAAAAGAAAGGTTCAACACTGTTAGTTGAGGGCGCACATCACAAATAAGTTTCTGAGAATGCTTCTGTCTAGTTTTCAGGGGAAGATATTTCCTTTTTCACCATAGGCCTGAAAGCGCTCCAAATGTCCGCATCCAGATACTACAAAAAGAGTGTTTCAAACCTGCTCTATGAAAGGGAATGTTCAAGTCTGTGACTTGAATGCAAACATCACAAAGAAGTTTTCTGGGAATGCTGCTGTCTGCTTTTTATATGTAATCCCGTTTCCAACGCAATCCTCAAAGCTAGACAAATATCCACTTGCAGATTCCACAAAAAGAGTGTTTCAAAACTGCTCTCTCAAAAGAAAGGTTCAACCCTGTTAGGTGAGTAGATACATCATGAAAAATTTTCTGACATTGCTTCTATCTAGCTTTTATTGGAAGATATTTCCTTTTTCACTGTAGTGCTGAGTACGCTCCAAATGTCCACTTCCAGATACTACAAAAAGAGTGTTTCAAATCTGCTCTATGAAAGGGACTGTTCAACACTGTGACTTCAATTGAAACATCCCAATGAAGCTTCTGAGAATGATGCTGTCTGCTTTGTATAATTAATCCCGTTTCCAACGAAATCCTCAAAGCTATCCAAATATCCTCTTGCAGATATTACAAAAAGAGTGTTTCAAAACTGCTCTATCAAAAGAAAGCTTCAACACTGTTAGTTGAGGGCGCACATCACAAATAAGTTTCTGAGAATGCTGCTGTCTGCTTTTTATATGTAATCCCGTTTCCAACGAAATCCTCAAAGCTAGACAAATATCCACTTGCAGATTCCACAAAAAGAGTGTTTCAAAACTGCTCTATCAAAAGAAAGCTTCAACACTGTTAGTTGAGGGCGCACATCACAAATAAGTTTCTGAGAATGCTTCTGTCTAGTTTTCAGGGGAAGATATTTCCTTTTAAACCATAGGCCTGAAAGCGCTCCAAATGTCCACATCCAGATACTACAAAAAGAGTGTTTCAAACCTGCTCTATGAAAGGGACTGTTCAACACTGTGACTTCAATTGAAACATCCCAATGAAGCTTCTGAGAATGCTACTGTCTAGGGTTAATATGAAGACAATCCCGTTTCCAACGAAATCCTCAAAGCTATCCAAATATCCTCTTGCAGATTTTACCAAAAGAATGTTTCAAAACTGCTCTATCAAAAGAAAGCTTCAACACTGTTAGTTGAGGGCGCACATCACAAATACGTTTCTGAGACTACTTCTGTCTAGTTTTCAGGGGAAGATATTTCCTTTTTCACCTTAGGCCTGAAAGCGCTGTAAATGTCCACATCCAGATACTACAAAAAGAGTGTTTCAAACCTGCTCTATGAAAGGGAATGTTCAAGTCTGTGACTTGAATGCAAACATCACAAAGAAGTTTCTGGGAATGCTGCTGTCTGCTTTTCATATGTAATCCCGTTTCCAACGAAATCCTCAAAGCTAGACAAATATCCACTTGCAGATTCCACAAAAAGAGTGTTTCAAAACTGCTCTGTGAAAAGAAAGGTTCAACTCTGTTAGCTGAGTAGATACATGATGAAAAAGTTTCTGACATTGCTTCTATCTAGCTTTTATTGGAAGATATTTCCTTTATCACCGTAGTCCTGAGAGCGCTCCAAATGTCCACTTCCAGATACTACAAAAAGAGTGTTTCAAACCTGCTCTATGAAAGGGACTGTTCAACACTGTGACTTCAATTGAAACATCCCAATGAAGCTCTGAGAATGCTTCTTTCTAGAGTTTATATGAAGACAATCCCGTTTCCAACGAAATCCTCAAAGCTATCCAAATATTCTCTTGCAGATATTACAAAAAGAGTGTTTCAAAACTGCTCTATCAAAATAAAGCTTCAACACTGTTAGTTGAGGGCGCACATCACAAATAAGTTTCTGAGAATGCTGCTGTCTGCTTTTTATATGTAATCCCGTTTCCAACGAAATCCTCAAAGCTAGACAAATATACACTTGCAGATTCCACAAAAAGAGTGTTTCAAAGCTGCTCTATCAAAAGAAAGCTTCAACACTGTTAGTTGAGGGCGCACATCACAAATAAGTTTCTGAGAATGCTTCTGTCTAGTTTTCAGGGGAAGATATTTCCTTTTTCACCTTAGGCCTGAAAGCGCTGCAAATGTCCACATCCAGATACTACAAAAAGAGTGTTTCAAACCTGCTATATGAAAGGGAATGTTCAACTCTGTGACTTGAATGCAAACATCACAAAGAAGTTTCTGGGAATGCTTCTGTCTAGAGTTTATATGAAGACAATCCCGTTTCCAACGAAATCCTCAAAGCTATCCAAATATCCTCTTGCAGATTTTACAAAAAGAGTGTTTCAAAACTGCTCTATCAAAAGAAAGCTTCAACACTGTTAGTTGAGGGCGCACATCACAAATAAGATTCTGAGAATGCTTCTGTCTAGTTTTCAGGGGAAGATATTTCCTTTTTCACCATAGGCCTGAAAGCGCTCCAAATGTCCACATACAGATACTACAAAAAGAGTGTTTCAAACCTGCTCTATGAAAGGGAATGTTCAACTCTGTGACTTGAATGCAAACTTCACAAAGAAGTTTCTGGGAATGCTGCTGTCTGCTTTTTATATGTAATCCCGTTTCCAACGAAATCCTCAAATCTAGACAAATATCCACTTGCAGATTCCACAAAAAGAGTGTTTCAAAACTGCTCTCTCAAAAGAAAGTTTCAACTCTGTTAGCTGAGTAGATACATCATGAAAAATTTTCTGACATTGCTTCTATCTAGCTTTTATTGGAAGATATTTCCTTTATCACCGTATTCCTGAGATCTCTCCAAATGTCCACTTCCAGATACTACAAAAAGAGTGTTTCAAACCTGCTCTATGAAAGGGACTGTTCAACACTGTGACTTCAATTGAAACATCCCAATGAAGCTTCTGAGAATGCTTCTGTCTAGAGTTTATATGAAGACAATCCCGTTTCCAACGAAATCCTCAAAGCTATCAAAATATCCTCTTGCAGATTTTACGAAAAGAGTGTTTCAAAACTGCTGTATCAAAAGAAAGCTTCAACACTGTTAGTTGAGGGCGCACATCACAAATAAGATTCTGAGAATGCTACTGTCTAGTTTTCAGGGGAAGATATTTCCTTTTTCACCATAGGCCTGAAAGCGCTCCAAATGTCCACATCCAGATACTACAAAAAGAGTGTTTCAAACCCGCTCTATGGAAGGGAATGTTCAAGTCTGTGACTTGAATGCAAGTATCACAAAGAAGTTTCTGGGAATGCTGCTGTCTGCTTTTTATATGTAATCCCGTTTCCAACGAAATCCTCAAAGCTAGACAAATATCCACTTGCAGATTCCACAAAAATAGTGTTTCAAAACTGCTCTCTCAAAAGAAAGGTTCAACTCTTTTAGCTGAGTAGATACATCATGAAAAAGTTTCTGACATTGCTTCTATCTAGCTTTTATTGGAAGATATTTCCTTTTTCACCGTAGTCCTGAGAACGCTCCAAATGTCCACTTCCAGATGCTGCAAAAAGAGTGTTTCAAACCTGCTCTATGAAAGGGACTGTTCAACACTGTGACTTCAATTGAAACATCCCAATGAAGCTTCTGAAAATGCTACTGTCTAGGGTTAATATGAAGACAATCCCGTTTCCAACGAAATCCTCAAAGCTATCCAAATATCCTCTCTCAGATTTTACAAAAAGAATGTTTCAAAACTGCTCTATCAAAAGAAAGCTTCAACACTGTTAGTTGAGGGCGCACATCACAAATAAGTTTCTGAGACTACTTCTGTCTAGTTTTCAGTGGAAGATATTTCCTTTTTCACCATAGGCCAGAAAGCGCTCCAAATGTCCACATCCAGATACTACAAAAAGAGTGTTTCAAACCTGCTCTATGAAAGGGAATGTTCAACTCTGTGACTTCAATGCAAACATCACAAAGAAGTTTCTGGGAATGCTGCTGTCTGCTTTTTATATGTAATCCCGTTTCCAACGAAATCCTCAAAGCTAGACAAATATCCACTTACAGATTCCACAAAAAGAGTGTTTCAAAACTGCTCTCTCAAAGGAAAGGTTCAACTCTGTTAGCTGAGTAGATACATCATGAAAAAGTTTCTGACATTTCTTCTATCTAGCTTTTATTGGAAGATATTTCCTTTTTCACCATAGTCCTGAGAACGCTCCAAATGTCCACTTCCAGATATTACAAAAAGAGTGTTTCAAACCTGCTCTACGAAAGGGACTGTTCAACACTGTGACTTCAATTGAAACATCCCAATGAAGCTTCTGAGAATGCTGCTGTCTGCTTTGTATAATTAATCCCGTTTCCAACGAAATCCTCAAAGCTATCCAAATATCCTCTTGCAGATATTACAAAAAGAGTGTTTCAAAACTGCTCTATCAAAAGAAAGCTTCAACACTGTTAGTTGAGGGCGCACATCACAAATAAGTTTCTGAGAATGCTGCTGTCTGCTTTTTATATGTAATCCCGTTTCCAACGAAATCCTCAAAGCTATCCAAATATCCTCTTGCAGATATTACAAAAAGAGTGTTTCAAAACTGCTCTATCAAAAGAAAGGTTCAACACTGTTAGTTGAGGGCGCACATCACAAATAAGTTTCTGAGAATGCTTCTGTCTAGTTTTCAGGGGAAGATATTTCCTTTTTCACCATAGACCTGAAAGCGCTCCAAATGTCCACATCCAGATACTACAAAAAGAGTGTTTCAAACCTGCTCTATGAAAGGGACTGTTCAACACTGTGACTTCAATTGAAACATCCCAATGAAGCATCTGAGAATGCTTCTGTCTAGAGTTTATATGAAGACAATCCCGTTTCCAACGAAATCCTCAAAGCTATCCAAATATCCTCTTGCAGATTTTACAAAAAGAGTGTTTCAAAACTGCTCTATCAAAAGAAAGCTTCAACACTGTTAGTTGAGGGCGCACATCACAAATAAGATTCTGAGAATGCTTCTGTCTAGTTTTCAGGGGAAGATATTTCCTTTTTCACCTTAGGCCTGAAAGCGCTGCAAATGTCCACATCCAGATACTACAAAAAGAGTGTTTCAAACCTGCTCTATGAAAGGGAATGTTCAACTCTGTGACTTGAATGCAAACATCACAAAGAAGTTTCTGGGAATGCTGCTGTCTGCTTTTTATATGTAATCCCGTTTCCAACGAAATCCTCAAAGCTAGACAAATATCCACTTGCAGATTCCACAAAAAGAGTGTTTCAAAACTGCTCTCTCAAAGGAAGTTTCAACTCTGTTAGCTGAGTAGATACATCATGAAAAAGTTTCTGACATTGCTTCTATCTAGCTTTTATTGGAAGATATTTCCTTTTTCACCGTATTCCTGAGAGCGCTCCAAGTGTCCACTTCCAGATACTACAAAAAGAGTTTTTCAAACCTGCTCTATGAAAGGGACTGTTCAACACTGTGACTTCAATTGAAACATCCCAATGAAGCTTCTGAGAATGCTTCTGTCTAGAGTTTATATGAAGACAATCCCGTTTCCAGCGAAATCCTCAAAGCTATCCAAATATCCTCTTGCAGATTTTACAAAAAGAGTGTTTCAAAACTGCTCTATCAAAAGAAAGCTTCAACACTGTTAGTTGAGGGCGCACATCACAAATAAGATTCTGAGAATGCTTCTGTCTAGTTTTCAGGGGAAGATATTTCCTTTTTCACCATAGGCCTGAAAGCGCTCCAAATGTCCACATCCAGATACTACAAAAAGAGTGTTTCAAACCTGCTCTATGAAAGGGAATGTTCAACTCTGTAACTTGAATGCAAACATCACAAAGAAGTTCCTGGGAATGCTGCTGTCTGCTTTTTATATGTAATCCCGTTTCCAACGAAATCCTCAAAGCTAGACAAATATCCACTTGCAGATTCCACAAAAAGAGTGTTTCAAAACTGCTCTCTCAAAGGAAAGGTTCAACTCTGTTAGCTGAGTAGATACATCATGAAAAAGTTTCTGACATTGCTTCTATCTAGCTTTTATTGGAAGATATTTCCTTTTTCACCGTAGTCCTGAGATCTCTCCAAATGTCCACTTCCAGATACTACAAAAAGAGTGTTTCAAACCTGCTCTATGAAAGGGACTGTTCAACACTGTGACTTCAATTGAAACATCCCAATGAAGCTTCTGAGAATGCTTCTGTCTAGAGTTTATATGAAGACAATCCCGTTTCCAACGAAATCCTCAAAGCTATCCAAATATCCTCTTGCAGATATTACAAAAAGAGTGTTTCAAAACTGCTCTATCAAAAGAAAGGTTCAACACTGTTAGTTGAGGGCGCACATCACAAATAAGTTTACTGAGAATGCTGCTGTCTGCTTTTTATATGTAATCCCGTTTCCAACGAAATCCTCAAAGCTAGACAAATATCCACTTGCAGATTCCACAAAAAGAGTGTTTCAAAACTGCTCTATCAAAAGAATGCTTCAACACTGTTAGTTGAAGGCGCACATCACAAATAAGTTTCTGAGAATGCTTCTGTCTAGTTTTCAGGGGAAGATATTTCCTTTTAAACCATAGGCCTGAAAGCGCTCCAAATGTCCACATCCAGATACTACAAAAAGAGTGTTTCAAACCTGCTCTATGAAAGGGACTGTTCAACACTGTGACTTCAATTGAAACATCCCAATGACGCTTCTGAGAATGCTTCTGTCTAGAGTTTATATGAAGACAATCCCGTTTCCAATGAAATCCTCAAAGCTATCGAAATATCCTCTTGCAGATTTTACAAAAAGAGTGTTTCAAAACTGCTCTATCAAAAGAAAGCTTCAACACTGTTAGTTGAGGGCGCACATCACAAATAAGATTCTGAGAATGTTTCTGTCTAGTTTTCAGGAGAAGATATTTCCTTTTTCACCATAGGCCTGAAAGCGCTCCAAATGTCCACATCCAGATACTATAAAAAGAGTGTTTCAAACCTGCTCTATGAAAGGGAATGTTCAACTCTGTGACTTGAATGCAAACATCACAAAGAAGATTCTGGGAACGCTGCTGTCTGCTTTTTATATGTAATCCCGTTTCCAACGAAATCCTCAAAGCTAGACAAATATCCACCTGCAGATTCCACAAAAAGAGTGTTTCAAAACTGCTCTCTCAAAAGAAAGGTTCAATTCTGTTAGCTGAGTAGATACCTCATGAAAAATTTTCTGACATTGCTTCTATCTAGCTTTTATTGGAAGATATTTCCTTTATCACCGTATTCCTGAGATCTCTCCAAATGTCCACTTCCAGATACTACAAAAAGAGTGTTTCAAACCTGCTCTATGAAAGGGACTGTTCAACACTGTGACTTCAATTGAAACATCCCAATGAAGCTTCTGAGAATGCTTCTGTCTAGAATTTATATGAAGACAATCCCGTTTCCAACGAAATCCTCAAAGCTATCAAAATATCCTCTTGCAGATTTTACGAAAAGAGTGTTTCAAAACTGCTCTATCAAAAGAAAGCTTCAACACTGTTAGTTGAGGGCGCACATCACAAATAAGATTCTGAGAATGCTTCTGTCTAGTTTTCAGGGGAAGATATTTCCTTTTTCACCATAGGCCTGAAAGCGCTCCAAATGTCCACATCCAGATACTACAAAAAGAGTGTTTGAAACCTGCTCTCTGAAAGGGAATGTTCAACTCTGTGACTTGAATGCAAACATCACAAAGAAGTTTCTGGGAATGCTGCTGTCTGCTTTTTATATGTAATCCCGTTTCCAACGAAATCCTCAAAGCTAGACAAATATCCACTTCCAGATTCCACAAAAAGAGTGTTTCAAAACTGCTCTCTCAAAAGAAAGGTTCAACTCTGTTAGCTGAGTAGATACATCATGAAAAAGTTTCTGACATTGCTTCTATCTAGCTTTTATTGGAAGATATTTCCTTTATCACCGTAGTCCTGAGAGCGCTCCAAATGTCCACTTCCAGATACTACAAAAAGAGTGTTTCAAACCTGCTCTATGAAAGGGACTGTTCAACACTGTGACTTCAATTGAAACATCCCAATGAAGCTTCTGAGAATGCTTCTGTCTAGAGTTTATATGAAGACAATCCCGTTTCCAACGAAATCCTCAAAGCTATCCAAATATCCTCTTGCAGATATTACAAAAAGAGTGTTTCAAAACTGCTCTATCAAAAGAAAGGTTCAACACTGTTAGTTGAGGGCGCACATCACAAATAAGTTTACTGAGAATGCTGCTGTCTGCTTTTTATATGTAATCCCGTTTCCAACGAAATCCTCAAAGCTAGACAAATATCCACTTGCAGATTCCACAAAAAGAGTGTTTCAAAACTGCTCTATCAAAAGAATGCTTCAACACTGTTAGTTGAGGGCGCACATCA
This sequence comes from Homo sapiens, assembly GCF_000001405.40. Taxonomy (NCBI): domain Eukaryota; kingdom Metazoa; phylum Chordata; class Mammalia; order Primates; family Hominidae; genus Homo; species Homo sapiens. The sequence continues at coordinate 93,454,867 of NC_000002.12, read as the reverse complement.
CAAATAAGTTTCTGAGAATGCTTCTGTCTAGTTTTCAGGGGAAGATATTTCCTTTTAAACCATAGGCCTGAAAGCGCTCCAAATGTCCACATCCAGATACTACAAAAAGAGTGTTTCAAACCTGCTCTATGAAAGGGACTGTTCAACACTGTGACTTCAATTGAAACATCCCAATGAAGCTTACTGAGAATGCTTCTGTCTAGAGTTTATATGAAGACAATCCCGTTTCCAACGAAATCCTCAAAGCTATCCAAATATCCTCTTGCAGATTTTACAAAAAGAGTGTTTCAAAACTGCTCTATCAAAAGAAAGCTTCAACACTGTTAGTTGAGGGCGCACATCACAAATAAGATTCTGAGAATGCTTCTGTCTAGTTTTCAGGGGAAGATATTTCCTCTTTCACCATAGGCCTGAAAGCGCTCCAAATGTCCACATCCAGATACTACAAAAAGAGTGTTTCAAACCTGCTCTATGAAAGGGAATGTTCAACTCTGTGACTTGAATGCAAACATCACAAAGAAGTTTCCTGGGAATGCTGCTGTCTGCTTTTTATATGTAATCCCGTTTCCAACGAAATCCTCAAAGCTAGACAAATATCCACTTCCAGATTCCACAAAAAGAGTGTTTCAAAACTGCTGTCTCAAAAGAAAGGTTCAACTGCTGTTAGCTGAGTAGATACATCATGAAAAAGTTTCTGACATTGCTTCTATCTAGCTTTTATTGGAAGATATTTCCTTTATCACTGTATTCCTGAGATCTCTCCAAATGTCCACTTCCAGCTACTACAAAAAGAGTGTTTCAAACCTGCTCTATGAAAGGGACTTTTCAACACTGTGACTTCAATTGAAACATCCCAATGAAGCTTCTGAGAATGCTTCTGTCTAGAGTTTATATGAAGACAATCCCGTTTCCAACGAAATCCTCAAAGCTATCCAAATATCCTCTTGCAGATTTTACAAAAAGAGTGTTTCAAAACTGCTCTATCAAAAGAAAGCTTCAACACTGTTAGTTGAGGGCGCACATCACAAATAAGATTCTGCGAATGCTTCTGTCTAGTTTTCAGGGGAACATATTTCCTTTTTCACCATAGGCCTGAAAGCGCTCCAAATGTCCACATCCAGATACTACAAAAAGAGTGTTTCAAACCTGCTCTATGAAAGGGAATGTTCAACTCTGTGACTTGAATGCAAACATCACAAAGAAGTTACTGGGAATGCTGCTGTCTGCTTTTTATATGTAATCCCGTTTCCAACGAAATCCTCGAAGCTAGACAAATATCCACTTGCAGATTCCACAAAAAGAGTGTTTCAAAACTGCTGTCTCAAAAGAAAAGTTCAACTCTTTTAGCTCAGTAGGTACATCATGAAAAAGTTCCTGACATTGCTTCTATGTAGCTTTTATTGGAAGATATTTCCTTTTTCACCGTAGTCCTGAGAGCGCTCCAAATGTCCACTTCCAGATACTACAAAAAGAGTGTTTCAAACCTGCTCTATGAAAGGGACTGTTCAACACTGTGACTTCAATTGAAACATCCCAATGAAGCTTCTGAGAATGTTTCTGTCTAGATTCTATATGAAGACAATCCCGTTTCCAACGAAATCCTCAAAGCTATCCAAATATCCTCTTGCAGATTTTACAAAAAGAGTGTTTCAAAACTGCTCTATCAAAAGAAAAGTTCCACACTGTTAGTTGAGGGCGCACATCACAAATAAGTTTGCTGAGAATGCTGCTGTCTGCTTTTTATATGTAATCCCGTTTCCAACGAAATCCTCAAAGCTAGACAAATATCCGCTTGCAGATTCCACAAAAAGAGTGTTTCAAAACAGCTCTATCAAAAGAAAGCTTCAACACTGTTAGTTGAGGGCGCACATCACAAATAAGTTTCTGAGAATGCTTCTGTCTAGTTTTCAGGGGAAGATATTTCCTTTTTCACCTTAGGCCTGAAAGCGCTGCAAATGTCCACATCCAGATACTTCAAAAAGAGTGTTTCAAACCTGCTCTATGAAAGGGAATGTTCAACTCTGTGACTTGAATGCGAACATCACAAAGAAGTTTCTGGGAATGCTTCTGTCTAGATTTTATATGAAGACAATCCCGTTTCCAACGAAATCCTCAAAGCTATCCAAATATCCTCTTGCAGATTTTACAAAAAGAGTGTTTCAAAACTGCTCTATCAAAAGAAAAGTTCAACACTGTTAGTTGAGGGCGCACATCACAAATAAGTTTCTGAGAATGCTTCTGTCTAGTTTTCAGGGGAAGATATTTCCTTTTCAACCATAGGCCTGAGAGCGCTCCAAATGTCCACATCCAGATACTACAAAAAGAGTGTTTCAAACCTGCTCTATGAAAGGGAATGTTCAACTCTGTGACTTGAATGCAAACATCACAAAGAAGTTTCTGGGAATGCTGCTGTCTGCTTTTTATATGTAATCCCGTTTCCAACGAAATCCTCAAATCTAGACAAATATCCACTTGCAGATTCCACAAAAAGAGTGTTTCAAAACTGCTCTCTCAAAAGAAAGGTTCAACTCTGTTAGCTGAGTAGATACATCATGAAAAAGTTTCTGACATTGCTTCTATGTAGCTTTTATTGGAAGATATTTCCTTTTTCACCGCAGTCCTGAGAGCGCTCCAAATGTCCACTTCCAGATACTACAAAAAGAGTGTTTCAAACCTGCTCTATGAAAGGGACTGTTCAACACTGTGACTTCAATTGAAACATCCCAATGAAGCTTCTGAGAATGCTTCTGTCTAGAGTTTATATGAAGACAATCCCGTTTCCAACGAAATCCTCAAAGCTATCCAAATATCCTCTTGCAGATATTACAAAAAGAGTGTTTCAAAACTGCTCTATCAAAGGAAAGCTTCAACACTGTTAGTTGAGGGCGCACATCACAAATAAGTTTCTGAGAATGCTTCTGTCTAGTTTTCAGGGGAAGATATTTCCTTTTTCACCATAGGCCTGAAAGCGCTCCAAATGTCCACATACAGATACTACAAAAAGAGTGTTTCAAACCTGCTCTATGAAAGGGAATGTTCAACTCTGTGACTTCAATGCAAACTTCACAAAGAAGTTTCTGGGAATGCTGCTGTCTGCTTTTTATATGTAATCCCGTTTCCAACGAAATCCTCAAAGCTAGACAAATATCCACTTGCAGATTCCACAAAAAGAGTGTTTCAAAACTGCTCTCTCAAAAGAAAGGTTCAACTCTGTTAGCTGAGTAGATACGTCATGAAAAAGTTTCTGACATTGCTTCTATCTAGCTTTTATTGGAAGATATTTCCTTTTTCACCGCAGTCCTGAGAGCGCTCCAAATGTCCACTTCCAGATACTACAAAAAGAGTGTTTCAAACCTGCTGTATGAAAGGACTGTTCAACACTGTGACTTCAATTGAAACATCCGAATGAAGCTTCTGAGAATGCTTCTGTCTAGAGTTTATATGAAGACAATCCCGTTTCCAACGAAATCCTCAAAGCTATCCAAATATCCTCTTGCAGATATTACAAAAAGAGTGTTTCAAAACTGCTCTATCAAAAGAAAGGTTCAACACTGTTAGTTGAGGGCGCACATCACAAATAAGTTTACTGAGAATGCTGCTGTCTGCTTTTTATATGTAATCCCGTTTCCAACGAAATCCTCAAAGCTAGACAAATATCCACTTGCAGATTCCACAAAAAGAGTGTTTCAAAACTGCTCTATCAAAAGAAAGCTTCAACACTGTTAGTTGAGGGCGCACATCACAAATAAGTTTCTGAGAATGCTTCTGTCTAGTTTTCAGGGGAAGATATTTCCTTTTAAACCATAGGCCTGAAAGCGCTCCAAATGTCCACATCCAGATACTACAAAAAGAGTGTTTCAAACCTGCTCTATGAAAGGGACTGTTCAACACTGCAACTTCAATTGAAACATCCCAATGAAGCTTCTGAGAATGCTTCTGTCTAGAGTTTATATGAAGACAATCCCGTTTCCAACGAAATCCTCAAAGCTATCCAAATATCCTCTTGCAGATTTTACAAAAAGAGTGTTTCAAAACTGCTCTATCAAAAGAAAGCTTCAACACTGTTAGTTGAGGGCGCACATCACAAATAAGATTCTGAGAATGCTTCTATCTAGTTTTCAGGGGAAGATATTTCCTTTTTCACCATAGGCCTGAAAGCGCTCCAAATGTCCACATCCAGATACTACAAAAAGAGTGTTTCAAACCTGCTCTATGAAAGGGAATGTTCAACTCTGTGACTTGAATGCAAACATCACAAAGATGTTACTGGGAATGCTGCTGTCTGCTTTTTATATGTAATCCCGTTTCCAACGAAATCCTCAAAGCTAGACAAATATCCACTTTCAGATTACACAAAAAGAGTGTTTCAAAACTGCTCTCTCAAAAGAAAGGTTCAACTCTGTTAGCTGAGTAGATACATCATGAAAATGTTTCTGACATTGCTTCTATCTAGCTTTTATTGGAAGATATTTCCTTTATCACCGTATTCCTGAGATCTCTCCAAATGTCCACTTCCAGATACTACAAAAAGAGTGTTTCAAACCTGCTCTATGAAAGGGACTGTTCAACACTGTGACTTCAATTGAAACATCCCAATGAAGCTTCTGAGAATGCTTCTGTCTAGAGTTTATATGAAGACAATCCCGTTTCCAACGAAATCCTCAAAGCTATCCAAATATCCTCTTGCAGATATTACAAAAAGAGTGTTTCAAAACTGCTCTATCAAAAGAAAGGTTCAACACTGTTAGTTGAGGGCGCACATCACAAATAAGTTTACTGAGAATGCTGCTGTTTGCTTTTTATATGTAATCCCGTTTCCAACGAAATCCTCAAAGCTAGACAAATATCCACTTGCAGATTCCACAAAAAGAGTGTTTCAAAACTGCTCTATCAAAAGAAAGTTTCAACACTGTTAGTTGAGGGCGCACATCACAAATAAGTTTCTGAGAATGCTTCTGTCTAGTTTTCAGGGGAAGATACTTCCTTTTTCACCATAGGCCTGAAAGCGTTCCAAATGTCCACATCCAGATACTACAAAAAGAGTGTTTCAAACCTGCTCTATGAAAGGGAATGTTCAACTCTGTGACTTGAATGCAAACATCACAAAGAAGTTACTGGGAATGCTTCTGTTTAGAGTTTATATGAAGACAATCACGTTTCCAACGAAATCCTCAAAGCTATCAAAATATCCTCTTGCAGATTTTACGAAAAGTGTGTCTCAAAACTGCTCTATCAAAAGAAAGCTTCAACACTGTTAGTTGAGGGCGCACATCACAAATAAGATTCTGAGAATGCTTCTGTCTAGTTTTCAGGGGAAGATATTTCCTTTTTCACCATAGGCCTGAAAGCGCTCCAAATGTCCACATACAGATACTACAAAAAGAGTGTTTCAAACCTGCTCTATGAAAGGGAATGTTCAAGTCTGTGACTTGAATGCAAACATCACAAAGAAGTTTCTGGGAATGCTGCTGTCTGCTTTTTATATGTAATCCCGTTTCCAACGAAATCCTCAAAGCTAGACAAATATCCACTTGCAGATTCCACAAAAAGAGTGTTTCAAAACTGCTCTCTCAAAAGAAAGGTTCAACTCTGTTAGCTGAGTAGATACATCATGAAAAAGTTTCTGACATTGCTTCTATCTAGCTTTTATTGGAAGATATTTCCTTTTTCACCGTAGTCCTGAGAGCGCTCCAAATGTCCACTTCCAGATACTACAAAAAGAGTGTTTCAAACCTGCTCTATGAAAGGGACTGTTCAACACTGTTTCTTCAGTTGAAACATCCCAATGAAGCTTCTGAGAATGCTTCTGTCTAGAGTTTATATGAAGACAATCCCATTTCCAACGAAATCCTCAAAGCTATCCAAATATACTCTTGCAGATATTACAAAAAGAGTGTTTCAAAACTGCTCTATCAAAAGAAAGGTTCAACACTGTTAGTTGAGGGCGCACATCACAAATAAGTTTCTGAGAATGCTTCTGTCTAGTTTTCAGGGGAAGATATTTCCTTTTAAACCATAGGCCTGAAAGCGCTCCAAATGTCCACATACAGATACTACAAAAAGAGTGTTTCAAACCTGCTCTATGAAAGGGAATGTTCAACTCTGTGACTTGAGTGCAAACATCACAAAGAAGTTTACTGGGAATGCTGCTGCCTGCTTTTTATATGTAATCCCGTTTCCAACGAAATCCTCAAAGCTAGACAAATATCCACTTCCAGATTCCACAAAAAGAGTGTTTCAAAACTGCTCTCTCAAAAGAAAGGTTCAACTCTGTTAGCTGAGTAGATACATCATGAAAAAGTTTCTGACATTGCTTCTATGTAGCTTTTATTGGAAGATATTTCCTTTTTCACCGTAGTCCTGAGAGCGCTCCAAATGTCCACTTCCAGATACTACAAAAAGAGTGTTTCAAACCTGTTCTAAGAAAGGAACTGTTCAACACTGTGACTTCAATTGAAACATCCCAATGAAGCTTCTGAGAATGCTTCTGTCTAGAGTTTATATGAAGACAATCCCGTTTCCAACGAAATCCTCAAAGCTATCCAAATATCCTCTTGCAGATATTACAAAAAGAGTGTTTCAAAACTGCTCTATCAAAAGAAAGGTTCAACACTGTTAGTTGAGGGCGCACATCACAAATAAGTTTCTGAGAATGCTTCTATCTGGCTTTTATTGGAAGATATTTCCTTTTTCAACGTAGTCCTGAGAGCGCTCCAAATGTCCACTTCCAGATACTACAAAAAGAGTGTTTCAAACCTGCTCTATGAAAGGGACTGTTCAAGTCTGTGACTTGAATGCAAATTTCACAAAGTACTTTCTGGGAATGCTGCTGTCTGCTTTTTATATGTAATCCCGTTTCCAACGAAATCCTCAAAGCCAGACAAATATCCACTTGCAGATTCCACAAAAAGAGTGTTTGAAACCTGCTCTCTCAAAAGAAAGGTTCAACTCTTTTAGCTGAGTAGATACATCACGAAAAAGTTTATGATATTGCTTCTATCTAGCTTTTATTGGAAGATATTTCCTTTTTCACTGTAGTGCTGAGAACGCTCCAAATGTCCCCTTCCAGATACTACAAAAAGAGTGTTTCAAATCTGCTCTATGAAAGGGACTGTTCAACACTGTGACTTCAATTGAAACATCCCAATGAAGCTTCTGAGAATGATGCTGTCTGCTTTGTATAATTAATCCCGTTTCCAACGAAATCCTCAAAGCTATCCAAATATCCTCTTGCAGATATTACAAAAAGAGTGTTTCAAAACTGCTCTATCAAAAGAAAGCTTCAACACTGTTAGTTGAGGGCGCACATCACAAATAAGTTTCTGAGAATGCTGCTGTCTGCTTTTTATATGTAATCACGTTTCCAACGAAATCCTCAAAGCTAGACAAATATCCACTTGCAGATTCCACAAAAAGAGTTTTTCAAAACTGCTCTATGAAAAGAAAGCTTCAACACTGTTAGTTGAGGGCGCACATCACAAATAAGTTTCTGAGAATGCTTCTGTCTAGTTTTCAGGGGAAGATATTTCCTTTTAAACCATAGGCCTGAAAGCGCTCCAAATGTCCACATCCAGATACTACAAAAAGAGTGTTTCAAACCTGCTCTATGAAAGGGACTGTTCAACACTGTGACTTCAATTGAAACATCCCAATGACGCTTCTGAGAATGTTTCTGTCTAGAGTTTATATGAAGACAATGCCGTTTCCAACGAAATCCTCAAAGCTATCCAAATATCCTCTTGCAGATATTACAAAAAGAGTGTTTCAAAACTGCTCTATCAAAAGAAAGGTTCAACACTGTTATTTGAGGGCGCACATCACAAATAAGTTTCTGAGAATGCTTCTGTCTAGTTTTCAGGGGAACATATTCCCTTTTTCACCATAGGCCTGAAAGCGCTCCAAATGTCCACATCCAGATACTACAAAAAGAGTGTTTCAAACCTGCTCTAAGAAAGGGAATGTTCAACTCTGTGACCTGAATGCAAACATCACAAAGAAATTTCTGGGAATGCTGCTGTCTGCTTTTTATATGTAATCCCGTTTCCAACGAAATCCTCAAAGCTAGACAAATATCCACTTGCAGATTCCACAAAAAGAGTGTTTCAAAACTGCTCTCTCAAAAGAAAGGTTCAACTCTGTTAGCTGAGTAGATACATCATGAAAAAGTTTCTGACATTGCTTCTATCTAGCTTTTATTGGAAGATATTTCCTTTTTCACCGCAGTCCTGAGAGCGTTCCAAATGTCCACTTCCAGATACTACAAAAAGAGTGTTTCAAACCTGCTCTATGAAAGGGACTGTTCAACACTGTGACTTCAATTGAAACATCCCAATGAAGCTTCTGAGAATGCTTCTGTCTAGAGTTTATATGAAGACAATCCCGTTTCCAACGAAATCCTCAAAGCTATCCAAATATCCTCTTGCAGATATTACAAAAAGAGTGTTTCAAAACTGCTCTATCAAAAGAAAGGTTCAACACTGTTAGTTGAGGGCGCACATCACAAATAAGTTTACTGAGAATGCTGCTGTCTGCTTTTTATATGTAATCAAGTTTCCAACGAAATCCTCAAAGCTAGACAAATATCCACTTGCAGATTCCATAAAAAGAGTGTTTCAAAACTGCTCTATCAAAAGAAAGCTTCAACACTGTTAGTTGAGGGCGCACATCACAAATAAGTTTCTGAGAATGCTTCTGTCTAGTTTTCAGGGGAAGATATTTCCTTTTTCACCATAGGGCTGAAAGCGCTCCAAATGTCCACATCCAGATACTACAAAAAGAGTGTTTCAAACCTGCTCTATGAAAGGGACTGTTCAACACTGTGACTTCAATTGAAACATCCCAATGAAGCTTCTGAGAATGCTACTGTCTAGAGTTTATATGAAGACAATCCCGTTTCCAACGAAATCCTCAAAGCTATCCAAATATCCTCTTGCAGATTTTACAAAAAGAGTGTTTCAAAGCTGCTCTATCAAAAGAAAGCTTCAACACTGTTAGTTGAGTGCGCACATCACAAATAAGATTCTGAGAATGCTTCTGTCTAGTTTTCAGGGGAAGATATTTCCTTTTTCACCATAGGCCTGAAAGCGCTCCAAATGTCCACATCCAGATACTACAAAAAGAGTGTTTCAAACCTGCTCTATGAAAGGGAATGTTCAACTCTGTGACTTGAATGCAAACATCACAAAGAAGTTTCTGGGAATGCTGCTGTCTGCTTTTTATATGTAATCCCGTTTCCAAAGAAATCCTCAAAGCTAGACAAATATCCACTTGCAGATTCCACAAAAAGAGTGTTTCAAAACTGCTCTCTCAAAGGAAAGGTTCACCTCTGTTAGCTGAGTAGATACATCATGAAAAAGTTTCTGACATTGCTTCTATGTAGCTTTTATTGGAAGATATTTCCTTTTTCACCATAGTCCTGAGAGCGCTCCAAATGTCCACTTCCAGATACTACAAAAAGAGTGTTTCAAACCTGTTCTATGAAAGGAACTGTTCAACACTGTGACTTCAATTGAAACATCCCAATGAAGCTTATGAGAATGCTTCTGTCTAGAGTTTATATGAAGACAATCCCGTTTCCAACGAAATCCTCAAAGCTATCCAAATATCCTCTTGCAGATATTACAAAAAGAGTGTTTCAAAACTGCTCTATCAAAAGAAAGGTTCAACACTGTTAGTTGAGGGCGCACATCACAAATAAGTTTACTGAGAATGCTGCTGTCTGCTTTTTATAATTAATCCCGTTTCCAACGAAATCCTCAAAGCTATCCAAATATCCTCTTGCAGATATTACAAAAAGAGTGTTTCAAAACTGCTCTATCAAAAGAAAGCTTCAACACTGTTAGTTGAGGGCGCACATCACAAATAAGTTTCTGAGAATGCTTCTGTCTAGTTTTCAGGGGAAGATATTTCCTTTTTCACCATAGGCCTGAAAGCGCTCCAAATGTCCACATCCAGATACTACAAAAAGAGTGTTTCAAACCTGCTCTATGAAAGGGACTGTTCAACACTGTGACTTCAATTGAAACATCCCAATGAAGCTTCTGAGAATGCTTCTGTCTAGAGTTTATATGAAGACAATCTCGTTTCCAACGAAATCCTCAAAGCTATCCAAATATCCTCTTGCAGATTTTACAAAAAGTGTGTTTCAAAACTGCTCTATCAAAAGAAAGCTTCAACACTGTTAGTCGAGGGCGCACATCAGAAATAAAATTCTGAGAATGCTTCTGTCTAGTTTTCAGGGGAAGATATTTCCTTTTTCACCATAGGCCTGAAAGCGCTCCAAATGTCCACATCCAGATACTACAAAAAGAGTGTTTCAAACCTGCTCTATGAAAGGGAATTTTCAACTCTGTGACTTGAATGCAAATATCACAAAGAAGTTTCTGGGAATGCTGCTGTCTGCTTTTTATATGTATTCCCGTTTCCAACGAAATCCTCAAAGCTAGACAAATATCCACTTGCAGATTCCACAAAAAGAGTGTTTCAAAACTGCTCTCTCAAAGGAAAGGTTCAACTCTGTTAGCTGAGTAGATACATCATGAAAAAGTTTCTGACATTGCTTCTATCTAGCTTTTATTGGAAGATATTTCCTTTTTCAACGCAGTCCTGAGAGCGTTCCAAATGTCCACTTCCAGATACTACAAAAAGAGTGTTTCAAACCTGCTCTATGAAAGGGACTGTTCAACACTGTGACTTCAATTGAAACATCCCAATGAAGCTTCTGAGAATGCTTCTGTCTAGAGTTTATATGAAGACAATCCCGTTTCCAACGAAATCCTCAAAGCTATCCAAATATCCTCTTGCAGATTTTACGAAAAGAGTGTTTCAAAACTGCTCTATCAAAAGAAAGCTTCAACACTGTTAGTTGAGGCGCACATCACAAATAAGATTCTGAGAATGCTTCTGTCTAGTTTTCAGGAGAAGATATTTCCTTTTTCACCATAGGCCTGAAAGCGCTCCAAATGTCCACATCCAGATACTATAAAAAGAGTGTTTCAAACCTGCTCTCTGAAAGGGAATGTTCAACTCTGTTACTTGAATGCAAACATCACAAACAAGATTCTGGGAATGATGCTGTCTGCTTTTTATATGTAATCCCGTTTCCAACGAAATCCTCAAAGCTAGACAAATATCCACTTGCAGATTCCACAAAAAGAGTGTTTCAAAACTGCTGTCTCAAAAGAAAGGTTCAACTCTGTTAGCTGAGTAGATAGATCATGAAAAAGTTTCTGACATTGCTTCTGTCTACAGTTTATATGACGACAATCCCGTTTCCAACGAAATCCTCAAAGCTATCCAAATATCCTCTTGCAGATTTTACCAAAAGAGGGTTTCAAAACTGCTCTATCAAAAGAAAGCTTCAACACTGTTAGTTGAGGGCGCACATCACAAATAAGATTCTGAGAATGGTTCTGTCTAGTTTTCAGGGGAAGATATTTCCTTTTTCACCATAGGCCTGAAAGCGCTCCAAATGTCCACATCCAGATACTACAAAAAGAGTGTTTCAAACCTGCTCTATGAAAGGGAATGTTCAACTCTGTGACTTGAATGCAAACATCACAAAGAAGTTTCTGGGAATGCTGCTTTGTGTTTTTATATGTAATCCCGTTTCCAACGAAATCCTCAAAGCTAGACAAATATCCACTTGCAGATTCCACAAAAAGAGTGTTTCAAAACTGCTCTCTCAAAAGAAAGGTTCAACTCTGTTAGCTGAGTAGATACATCATGAAAAAGTTTCTGACATTGCTTCTATCTAGCTTTTATTGGAAGATATTTCCTTTTTCACCGTAGTCCTGAGAGCGCTCCAAATGTCCACATCCAGATACTACAAAAAGAGTGTTTCAAACCTGCTCTATGAAAGGGACTGTTCAACACTGTGACTTCAATTGAAACATCCCAATGAAGCTTCTGAGAATGCTTCTGTCTAGAGTTTATATGAAGACAATCCCGTTTCCAACGAAATCCTCAAAGCTATCCAAATATCCTCTAGCAGATTTTACAAAAAGAGTGTTTCAAAACTGCTCTATCAAAAGAAAGCTTCAACACTGTTAGTTGAGGGCACACATCACAAATAAAATTCTGAGAATGCTGCTGTCTGCTTTTTATATGTAATCCCGTTTCCAACGAAATCCTCAAAGCTAGAGAAATATCCACTTGCAGATTCCACAAAAAGAGTGTTTCAAAACTGCTCTCTCAAAAGAAAGCTTCAACACTGTTAGTTGAGGGCGCACATCACAAATAAGTTTCTGAGAATGCTTCTGTCTAGTTTTCAGGGGAAGATATTTCCTTTTAAACCATAGGCCTGAAAGCGCTCCAAATGTCCACATCCAGATACTACAAAAAGAGTGTTTCAAACCTGCTCTATGAAAGGGACTGTTCAACACTGTGACTTCAATTGAAACATCCCAATGACGCTTCTGAGAATGCTTCTGTCTAGATTTTATATGAAGACAATCCCGTTTCCAACGAAATCCTCAAAGCTATCCAAATATACTCTTGCAGATTTTACAAAAAGAGTGTTCCAAAACTGCTCCATCAAAAGAAAGCTTCAACACTGTTAGTTGAGGGCACACATCACAAATAAGATTCTGAGAATGCTTCTGTCTAGTTTTCAGGGGAAGATATTTCCTTTTTCACCTTAGGCCTGAAAGCGCTGCAAATGTCCACATCCAGATACTAAAAAAAGAGTGTTTCAAACCTGCTCTATGAAAGGGAATGTTCAACTCTGTGACTTGAATGCAAACATCACAAAGAAGTTTCTGGGAATGCTGCTGTCTGCTTTTTATATGTAATCCCGTTTCCAACGAAATCCTCAAAGCTAGACAAATATCCACTTCCAGATTCCACAAAAAGAGTGTTTCAAAACTGCTCTCTCAAAAGAAAGGTTCAACTCTGTTAGCTGAGTAGATACATCATGAAAAAGTTTCTGACATTGCTTCTATCTAGCTTTTATTGGAAGATATTTCCTTTTTCACCGTAGTCCTGAGAGCGCTCCAAATGTCAACTTCCAGATACTACAAAAAGAGTGTTTCAAACCTGCTCTATGAAAGGGACTGTTCAACACTGTGACTTCAATTGAAACATCCCAATGAAGCTTCTGAGAATGCTTCTGTCTAGAGTTTATATGAAGACAATCCCGTTTCCAACGAAATCCTCAAAGCTATCCAAATATCCTCTTGCAGATATTACAAAAAGAGTGTTTCAAAACTGCTCTATCAAAAGAAAGGTTCAACACTGTTAGTTGAGGGCGCACATCACAAATAAGTTTACTGAGAATGCTGCTGTCTGCTTTTTATATGTAATCCCGTTTCCAACGAAATCCTCAAAGCTAGACAAATATCCACTTGCAGATTCCACAAAAAGAGTTTTTCAAAACTGCTCTATCAAAAGAATGCTTCAAAACTGTTAGTTGAGGGCGCACATCACAAATAAGTTTCTGAGAATGCTTCTGTCTAGTTTTTATGGGAAGATATTTCCTTTTTCAATATAGCCCTGAAAGCGCTACAAATGTCCACGTCCAGATACTACAAAAAGAGTGTTTCAAACCTACTCCATGAAAGGGACTGTTCAACACTGCGACTTCAATAGAAACATCCCAATGAAGTTTCTGAGAATGCTTCTGTCTACAGTTTATATGAAGACAATCCCGTTTCCAATGAAATCCTCAAAGCTATGCAAATATCCTCTTGCAGATTTTACAAAAAGAGTGTTTCAAAACTGCTCTATCAAAAGAAAGCTTCAACACTGTTAGTTGAGGGCGCACATCATAAATAAGATTCTGAGAATGCTTCTGTCTAGTTTTCAGGGGAAGATATTTCCTTTTTCACCATAGGCCTGAAAGCGCTCCAAATGTCCACATCCAGATACTACAAAAAGAGTGTTTCAAACCTGCTCTATGAAAGGGAATGTTCAACTCTGTGACTTGAATGCAAACATCACAAAGAAGTTTCTGGGAATGCTGCTGTCTGCTTTTTATATGTAATCCCGTTTCCAACGAAATCCTCAAAGCTAGACAAATATCCACTTGCAGATTCCACAAAAAGAGTGTTTCAAAACTGCTCTCTCAAAGGAAAGGTTCAACTCTGTTAGCTGAGTAGATACATCATGAAAAAGTTTCTGACATTGCTTCTATCTAGCTTTATTTGGAAGATATTTCCTTTTTCACCGTAGTCTTGAAAACGCTCCAAATGTCCACTTCCAGATACTACAAAAAGAGTGTTTCAAACCTGCTCTATGAAAGGGACTGTTCAACACTGTGACTTCAATTGAAACATCCCAATGAAGCTTCTGAGAATGCTTCTGTCTAGATTCTATATGAAGACAATCCCGTTTCCAACGAAATCCTCAAAGCTATCCAAATATCCTCTTGCAGATTTTACAAAAAGAGTGTTTCAAAACTGCTCTATCAAAAGAAAAGTTCCACACTGTTAGTTGAGGGCGCACATCACAAATAAGTTTGCTGAGAATGCTGCTGTCTGCTTTTTATAATTAATCCCGTTTCCAACGAAATCCTCAAAGCTATCCAAATATCCTCTTGCAGATATTACAAAAAGAGTGTTTCAAAACTGCTCTATCAAAAGAAAGCTTCAACACTGTTAGTTGAGGGCGCACATCACAAATAAGTTTCTGAGAATGCTTCTGTCTAGTTTTCAGGAGAAGATATTTCCTTTTTCACCGTATTCCTGAGATCTCTCCAAATGTCCACTTCCAGATACTACAAAAAGAGTGTTTCAAACCTGCTCTATGAAAGGGACTGTTCAACACTGTGACTTCAATTGAAACATCCCAATGAAGCTTCTGAGAATGCTTCTGTCTAGAGTTTATATGAAGACAAACCCGTTTCCAACGAAATCCTCAAAGCTATCCAAATATCCTCTTGCAGATTTTACAAAAAGAGTGTTTCAAAACTGCTCTATCAAAAGAAAGCTTCAACACTGTTAGTTGAGGGCGCACATCACAAATAAGATTCTGAGAATGCTTCTGTCTAGTTTACAGGAGAAGATATTTCCTTTTTCACCATAGGCCTGAAAGCGCTCCAAATGTACACATCCAGACACTATAAAAAGAGTGTTTCAAACCTGCTCTCTGAAAGGGAATATTCAACTCTGTGACTTGAATGCAAACATCACAAACAAGATTCTGGGAATGCTGCTGTCTGCTTTTTATATGTAATCCCGTTTCCAACGAAATCCTCAAAGCTAGACAAATATCCACTTCCAGATTCCACAAAAAGAGTGTTTCAAAACTGCTCTCTCAAAAGAAAGGTTCAACTCTGTTAGCTGAGTAGATACATCATGAAAAAGTTTCTGACATTGCTTCTATGTAGCTTTTATTGGAAGATATTTCCTTTTTCACCATAGTCCTGAGAGCGCTCCAAATGTCCACTTCCAGATACTACAAAAAGAGTGTTTCAAACCTGTTCTATGAAAGGAACTGTTCAACACTGTGACTTCAATTGAAACGTCCCAATGAAGCTTCTGAGAATGCTTCTGTTTAGAGTTTATATGAAGACAATCCCGTTTCCAACGAAATCCTCAAAGCTATCCAAATATCCTCTTGCAGATATTACAAAAAGAGTGTTTCAAAACTGTTCTATCAAAAGAAAGGTTCAACACTGTTAGTTGAGGGCGCACATCACAAATAAGTTTCTGAGAATGCTGCTGTCTGCTTTTTATATGTAATCCCGTTTCCAACGAAATCCTCAAAGCTAGACAAATATCCACTTGCAGATTCCACAAAAAGAGTGTTTCAAAACTGCTCTATCAAAAGAATGCTTCAACACTGTTAGTTGAGGGCGCACATCACAAATAAGTTTCTGAGAATGCTTCTGTCTAGTTTTCAGGGGAAGATATTTCCTTTTTCACCATAGGCCTGAAAGCGCTCCAAATGTCCACATCCAGATACTACAAAAAGAGTGTTTCAAACCTGCTCTATGAAAGGGACTGTTCAACACTGTGACTTCAATTGAAACATCCCAATGAAGCTTCTGAGAATGCTTCTGTCTAGAGTTTATATGAAGACAATCCCGTTTCCAACGAAATCCTCAAAGCTATCAAAATATCCTCTTGCAGATTTTACGAAAAGAGTGTTTCAAAACTGCTCTATCAAAAGAAAGCTTCAATACTGTTATTTGAGGGCGCACATCACAAATAAGATTCTGAGAATGCTTCTGTCTAGTTTTCTGGGGAAGATATTTCCTTTTTCACCATAGGCTTGAAAGCGCTCCAAATGTCCACATCCAGATACTACAAAAAGAGTGTTTCAAACCTGCTCTATGAAAGGGAATGTTCAACTCTGTGACTTCAATGCAAACATCACAAAGAAGTTTCTGGGAATGCTGCTGTCTGCTTTTTATATGTAATCCCGTTTCCAACGAAATCCTCAAAGCTAGACAAATATCCACTTGCATATTCCACAAAAAGAGTGTTTCAAAACTGCTCTCTCAAAAGAAAGGTTCAACTCTGTTAGCTGAGTAGATACATCATGAAAAAGTTTCTGAGATTGCTTTTATCTAGCTTTTATTGGAAGATATTTCCTTTTTCATTGTAGTCCTGAGAACGCTCCAAATGTCCACTTCCAGATACTACAAAAAGAGTGTTTCAAATCTGCTCTATGAAAGGGACTGTTCAACACTGTGACTTCAATTGAAACATCCCAATGAAGCTTCTGAGAATGATTCTGTCTAGATTCTATATGAAGACAATCCCGTTTCCAACGAAATCCTCAAAGCTATCCAAATATCCTCTTGCGGATTTTTCAAAAAGAGTGTATCAAAACTGCTCTATCAAAAGAAAGGTTCAACACTGTTTGTTGAGGGCGCACATCACAAATAAGTTTCTGAGAATGCTGCTGTCTGCTTTTTATATGTAATCCCGTTTCCAACGAAATCCTCAAAGCTATCCAAATATCCTCTTGCAGATATTACAAAAAGAGTGTTTCAAAACTGCTCTATCAAAAGAAAGGTTCAACACTGTTAGTTGAGGGCGCACATCACAAATAAGTTTCTGAGAATGCTTCTGTCTAGTTTTCAGGGGAAGATATTTCCTTTTTCACCATAGGCCTGAAAGCACTCCAAATGTCCACATCCAGATACTACAAAAAGAGTGTTTCAAACCTGCTCTATGAAAGGGAATATTCAACTCTGTGACTTGAATGCAAACATCACAAAGAAGTTACTGGGAATGCTTCTGTCTAGATTCTATATGAAGACAATCCCGTTTCCAACGAAATCCTCAAAGCTATCCAAGTATCCTCTTGCAGATTTTACAAAAAGAGTGTTTCAAAACTGCTTTATCAAAAGAAAGGTTCAACACTGTTAGTTGAGGGCGCACATCACAAATAAGTTTCTCAGAATGCTTCTGTCTAGTATTCAGGGGAAGATATTTCCTTTTTCACCATAGGCCTGAAAGCGCTCCAAATGTCCACATCCAGATACTACAAAAAGAGTGTTTCAAACCTGCTCTATGAAAGGGAATGTTCAAGTCTGTGACATGAATGCAAATTTCACAAAGAACTTTCTGGGAATGCTGCTGTCTGCTTTTTATATGTAATCCCGTTTCCAACGAAATCCTCAAAGCTAGACAAATATCCACTTGCAGATTCCACAAAACGAGTGTTTCAAAACTGCTCTCTCAAATGAAGGTTCAACTCTGTTAGCTGAGTAGATACATCATGAAAAAGTTTCTGACATTGCTTCTATCTAGCTTTTACTGGAAGATATTTCCTTTTTCAACGCAGTCCTGAGAGCGTTCCTAATGTCCACTTCCAGATACTACAAAAAGAGTGTTTCAAACCTGCTCTATGAAAGGGACTGTTCAACACTGTGACTTCAATTGAAACATCCCAATGAAGCTTCTGAGAATGCTTCTGTCTAGAGTTTATATGAAGACAATCCCGTTTCCAACGAAATCCTCAAAGCTATCCAAATATCCTCTTGCAGATATTACAAAAAGAGTGTTTCAAAACTGCTCTATCAAAAGAAAGGTTCAACACTGTTAGTTGAGGGCGCACATCACAAATAAGTTTACTGAGAATGCTACTGTCTGCTTTTTATATGTAATCCCGTTTCCAACGAAATCCTCAAAGCTAGACAAATATCCACTTGCAGATTCCACAAAAAGAGTGTTTCAAAACTGCTCTATCAAAAGAATGCTTCAACACTGTTAGTTGAGGACGCACATCACAAATAAGTTTCTGAGAATGCTTCTGTCTAGTTTTCAGGGGAAGATATTTCCTTTTAAACCATAGGCCTGAAAGCGCTCCAAATGTCCACATCCAGATACTACAAAAAGAGTGTTTCAAACCTGCTCTATGAAAGGGACTGTTCAACACTGTAACTTCAATTGAAACATCCCAATGAAGCTTCTGAGAATGCTTCTGTCTAGAGTTTATATGAAGACAATCCCGTTTCCAACGAAATCCTCAAAGCTATCCAAATATCCTCTTGCAGATATTACAAAAAGAGTGTTTCAAAACTGCTCTATCAAAAGAAAGCTTCAACACTGTTAGTTGAGGGCGCACATCACAAATAAGTTTCTGAGAATGCTTCTGTCTAGTTTTCAGGGGAAGATATTTCCTTTTTCACCATAGGCTTGAAAGCACTCCAAATGTCCACATCCAGATACTACAAAAAGAGTGTTTCAAACCTGCTCTATGAAAGGGAATGTTCAACTCTGTGACTTGAATGCAAACATCACAAAGAAGTTTCTGGGAATGCTGCTGTCTGCTTTTTATATGTAATCCCGTTTCCAACGAAATCCTCAAAGCTAGACAAATATCCACTTGCAGATTCCACAAAACGAGTGTTTCAAAACTGCTCTCTCAAAGGAAGGTTCAACTCTGTTAGCTGAGTAGATACATCATGAAAAAGTTTCTGACATTGCTTCTATGTAGCTTTTATTGGAAGATATTTCCTTTTTCACCATAGTCCTGAGAGCGCTCCAAATGTCCACTTCCAGATACTACAAAAAGAGTGTTTCAAACCTGTTCTATGAAAGGAACTGTTCAACACTGTGACTTCAATTGAAACATCCCAAAGAAGCTTCTGAGAATGCTTCTGTCTAGAGTTTATATGAAGACAATCCCGTTTCCAACGAAATCCTCAAAGCTATCCAAATATCCTCTTGCAGATATTACAAAAAGAGTGTTTCAAAACTGCTCTATCAAAAGAAAGGTTCAACACTGTTAGTTGAGGGCGCACATCACAAATAAGTTTACTGAGAATGCTGCTGTCTGCTTTATATATGTAATCCCGTTTCCAACGAAATCCCCAAAGCTAGACAAACATCCACTTGCAGATTCCACAAAAAGAGTGTTTCAAAACTGCTCTATCAAAAGAAAGCTTCAACACTGTTAGTTGAGGGCGCACATCACAAATAAGTTTCTGAAAATGCTTCTGTCTAGTTTTCAGGGGAAGATATTTCCTTTTTCACCATAGGCCTGAAAGCGCTCCAAATGTCCACATCCAGATACTACAAAAAGAGTGTTTCAAACCTGCTCTATGAAAGGGACTGTTCAACACTGTGACTTCAATTGAAACATCCCAATGAAGCTTCTGAGAATGCTTCTGTCTAGAGTTTATATGAAGACAATCCCGTTTCCAACGAAATCCTCAAAGCTATCAAAATATCCTCCTGCAGATTTTACGAAAAGAGTGTTTCAAAACTGCTCTATCAAAAGAAAGCTTCAACACTGTTAGTTGACGGCGCACATCACAAATAAGATTCTGAGAATGCTTCTGTCTAGTTTTCAGGGGAAGATATTTCCTTTTTCACCATAGGCCTGAAAGCGCTCCAAATGTCCACATCCAGATACTACAAAAAGAGTGTTTCAAACCTGCTCTATGAAAGGGAATGTTCAACTCTGTGACTTGAATGCAAACATCACAAAGAAGATTCTGGGAATGCTGCTGTCTGCTTTTTATATGTAATCCGGTTTCCAGCGAAATCCTCAAAGCTAGAGAAATATCCACTTGCAGATTCCACAAAAAGAGTGTTTCAAAACTGCTCTCTCAAAGGAAGGTTCAACTCTGTTAGCTGAGTAGATACATCATGAAAAAGTTTCTGACATTGCTTCTATCTAGCTTTTATTGGAAGATATTTCCTTTTTCACCGTAGTCCTCAGAACGCTCCAAATGTCCACTTCCAGATACTACAAAAAGAGTGTTTCAAACCTGCTCTATGAAAGGGACTATTCAACACTGTGACTTCAATTGAAACATCCCAATGAAGCTTACTGAGAATGCTTCTGTCTAGAGTTTATATGAAGACAATCCCGTTTCCAACGAAATCCTCAAAGCTATCCAAATATCCTCTTGCAGATATTACAAAAAGAGTGTTTCAAAACTGCTCTATCAAAAGAAAGGTTCAACACTGTTAGTTGAGGGCGCACATCACAAATAAGTTTACTGAGAATGCTGCTGTCTGCTTTTTATATGTAATCCCGTTTCCAACGAAATCCTCAAAGCTAGACAAATATCCACTTGCAGATTCCACAAAAAGAGTGTTTCAAAACTGCTCTATCAAAAGAATGCTTCAACACTGTTAGTTGAGGGCGCACATCACAAATAAGTTTCTAAGAATGCTTCTGTCTAGTTTTCAGGGGAAGATATTTCCTTTTAAACCATAGGCCTGAAAGCGCTCCAAATGTCCACATCCAGATACTACAAAAAGAGTGTTTCAAACCTGCTCTATGAAAGGGACTGTTCAACACTGTGACTTCAATTGAAACATCCCAATGATGCTTCTGAGAATGCTATTGTCTAGAGTTTATATGAAGACAATCCCGTTTCCAACGAAATACTCAAAGCTATCCAAATATCCTCTTGCAGATTTTACAAAAAGAATGTTTCAAAACTGCTCTGTCAAAAGAAAGCTTCAACACTGTTAGTTGACGGCGCACATCACAAATAAGTTTCTGAGAATGCTTCTGTCTAGTTTTCAGGAGAAGATATTTCCTTTTTCATCATAGGCCTGAAAGCGCTCCAAATGTCCACATCCAGATACTATAAAAAGAGTGTTTCAAACCTGCTCTCTGAAAGGGAATGTTCAACTCTGTGACTTGAATGCAAACATCACAAACAAGATTCTGGGAATGCTGCTGTCTGCTTTTTATAATTAATCCCGTTTCCAACGAAATCCTCAAAGCTAGACAAATATCCACTTGCAGATTCCACAAAAAGAGTGTTTCAAAACTGCTCTATCAAAAGAATGCCTCAACACTGTTAGCTGAGTAGATACATCATGAAAAAGTTTCTGACATTGCTTCTATCTAGCTTTTATTGGAAGTTATTTCCTTTATCACCGTATTCCTGAGATCTCTCCAAATGTCCACTTCCAGATACTACAAAAAGAGTGTTTCAAACCTGCTCTATCAAAGGGACTGTTCAACACTGTGACTTCAATTGAAACATCCCAATGAACCTTCTGAGAATGCTTCTGTCTAGAGTTTATATGAAGACAATCCCGTTTCCAACGAAATCCTCAAAGCTATCCAAATATCCTCTTGCAGATATTACAAAAAGAGTGTTTCAAAACTGCTCTATCAAAAGAAAGGTTCAACACTGTTAGTTGAGGGCGCACATCACAAATAAGTTTACTGAGAATGCTGCTGTCTGCTTTTTATATGTAATCCCGTTTCCAACGAAATCCTCAAAGCTAGAGAAATATCCACTTCCAGATTCCACAAAAAGAGTGTTTCAAAACTCCTCGATCAAAAGAAAGATTCAACACTGTTAGTTGAGGGCGCACATCACAAATAAGTTTCTGAGAATGCTTCTGTCTAGTTTTCAGGGGAAGATATTTCCTTTTTCACCATAGGCCTGAAAGCGCTCCAAATGTCCACATCCAGATACTACAAAAAGAGTGTTTCAAACCTGCTCTATGAAAGGGACTGTTCAACACTGTGACTTCAATTGAAACATCCCAATGAAGCTTCTGAGAATGCTAATGTCTAGGGTTAATATGAAGACAATCCCGTTTCCAACGAAATCCTCAAAGCTATCCAAATATCCTCTTGCAGATTTTACAAAAAGAATGTTTCAAAACTGCTCTATCAAAAGAAAGCTTCAACACTGTTAGTTGAGGGCGCACATCACAAATAAGGTTCTGAGACTACTTCTGTCTAGTTTTCAGTGGAAGATATTTCCTTTTTCACCATAGGCCTGAAAGCGCTCCAAATGTCCACATCCAGATACTACAAAAAGAGTGTTTCAAACCTGCTCTATGAAAGGGAATGTTCAACTCTGTGACTTGAATGCAAACATCACAAAGAAGTTTCTGGGAATGCTGCTGTCTGCTTTTTATATGTAATCCCGTTTCCAACGAAATCCTCAAAGCTAGACAAATATCCACTTGCAGATTCCACAAAAAGAGTGTTTCAAAACTGCTCTCTCAAAGGAAAGGTTCAACTCTGTTAGCTGAGTAGATACATCATGAAAATTTTCTGACATTGCTTCTATGTAGCTTTTATTGGAAGATATTTCCTTTTTCACCGTAGTCCTGAGAGCTCTCCAAATGTCCACTTCCAGATACTACAAAAAGAGTGTTTCAAACCTGTTCTATGAAAGGAACTGTTCAACACTGTGACTTCAATTGAAACATCCCAATGAAGCTTCTGAGAATGCTTCTGCCTAGAGTTTATATGAAGACAATCCCGTTTCCAACGAAATCCTCAAAGCTATCCAAATATCCTCTTGCAGATATTACAAAAAGAGTGTTTCAAAACTGCTCTATCAAAAGAAAGCTTCAACACTGTTAGTTGAGGGCGCACATCACAAATAAGTTTCTGAGAATGCTTCTGTCTAGTTTTCAGGGGAAGATATTTCCTTTTTCACCTTAGGCCTGAAAGCGCTGCAAATGTACACATCCAGATACTACAAAAAGAGTGTTTCAAACCTGCTCTATGAAAGGGAATGTTCAACTCTGTGACTTGAATGCAAACATCACAAAGAAGTTTCTGGGAATGCTGCTGTCTGCTTTTTATATGTAATCCCGTTTCCAACGAAATCCTCAATGCTAGACAAATATCCACTTGCAGATTCCACAAAAAGAGTGTTTCAAAACTGCTCTCTCAAAAGAAAGGTTCAACTCTGTTAGCTGAGTAGATACATCATGAAAAAGTTTCTGACATTGCTTCTATCTAGCTTTTATTGGTAGATATTTCCTTTTTCACCGTAGTCCTGAGAGCGCTCCAAATGTCCACTTCCAGATACTACAAAAAGAGTGTTTCAAACCTGCTCTATGAAAGGGACTGTTCAACACTGTGACTTCAAGTGAAACATCCCAATGAAGCTTCTGAGAATTCTGCTGTCTGCTTTGTATAATTAATCCCGTTTCCAACGAAATCCTCAAAGCTATCCAAATATCCTCTTGCAGATATTACAAAAAGAGTGTTTCAAAACTGCTCTATCAAAAGAAAGCTTCAACACTGTTAGTTGAGGGCGCACATCACAAATAAGTTTCTGAGAATGCTGCTGTCTGCTTTTTATATGTAATCCCGTTTCCAACGAAATCCTCAAAGCTAGACAAATATCCACTTGCAGATTCCACAAAAAGAGTGTTTCAAAACTGCTCTATCAAAAGAAAGCTTCAACACTGTTAGTTGAGGGCGCACATCACAAATAAGTTTCTGAGAATGCTTCTGTCTAGTTTTCAGGGGAAGATATTTCCTTTTAAACCATAGGCCTGAAAGCGCTCAAATGTCCACATCCAGATACTACAAAAAGAGTGTTTCAATCCTGCTCTATGAAAGGGACTGTTCAACATTGTGACTTCAATTGAAACATCCCCATGATGCTTCTGAGAATGCTTCTGTCTACAGTTTATATGAAGACAATCCCGTTTCCAACGAAATCCTCAAAGCTATCCAAATATCCTCTTGCAGATTTTACAAAAAGAGTGTTTCAAAACTGCTCTATCAAAAGAAAGCTTCAACACTGTTAGTTGAGGGCGCACATCACAAATAAGATTCTGAGAATGCTTCTGTCTAGTTTTCAGGAGAAGATATTTCCTTTTTCACCATAGGCCTGAAAGCGCTCCAAATGTCCACATCCAGATACTATAAAAAGAGTGTTTCAAACCTGCTCTCTGAAAGGGAATGTTCAACTCTGTGACATGAATGCAAACATCACAAACAAGATTCTGGGAATGCTGCTGTCTGCTTTTTATATGTAATCCCGTTTCCAACGAAATCCTCAAATCTAGACAAATATCCACTTGCAGATTCCACAAAAAGAGTGTTTCAAAACTGCTCTATCAAAAGAAAGCTTCAACACTGTTAGTTGAGGGCGCACATCACAAATAAGTTTCTGAGAATGCTTCTGTCTAGTTTTCAGGGGAAGATATTTCCTTTTTCACCATAGGCCTGAAAGCGCTCCAAATGTCCACATCCAGATACTACAAAAAGAGTGTTTCAAACCTGCTCTATGAAAGGGAATGTTCAACTCTGTGACTTGAATGCAAACATCACAAAGAAGTTCCTGGGAATGCTGCTGTCTGCTTTTTATATGTAATCCCGTTTCCAACGAAATCCTCAAAGCTAGACAAATATCCACTTGCAGATTCCACAAAAAGAGTGTTTCAAAACTGCTCTCTCAAAGGAAGGTTCAACTCTGTTAGCTGAGTAGACACATCATGAAAAAGATTCTGACATTGCTTCTATCTAGCTTTTATTGGAAGATATTTCCTTTATCACCGTATTCCTGAGATCTCTCCAAATGTCCACTTCCAGATACTACAAAAAGAGTGTTTCCAACCTGCCCTATGAAAGGGACTGTTCAACACTGTGACTTCAATTGAAACATCCCAATGAAGCTTCTGAGAATGCTTCTTTCTAGAGTTTATATGAAGACAATCCCGTTTCCAACGAAATCCTCAAAGCTATCCAAATATTCTCTTGCAGATATTACAAAAAGAGTGTTTCAAAACTGCTCTATCAAAATAAAGCTTCAACACTGTTAGTTGAGGGCGCACATCACAAATAAGTTTCTGAGAATGCTGCTGTCTGCTTTGTATAATTAATCCCGTTTCCAACGAAATCCTCAAAGCTATCCAAATATCCTCTTGCAGATATTACAAAAAGAGTGTTTCAAAACTGCTCTATCAAAAGAAAGCTTCAACACTGTTAGTTGAGGGCGCACATCACAAATAAGTTTCTGAGAATGCTTCTGTCTAGTTTTCAGGGGAAGATATTTCCTTTTTCACCTTATGCCTGAAAGCGCTCCAAATGTCCACATCCAGATTCTACAAAAAGAGTGTTTCAAACCTGCTCTATGAAAGGGACTGTTCAACACTGTGACTTCAATTGAAACATCCCAATGAAGCTTCTGAGAATGCTACTGTCTAGAGTTTATATGAAGACAATCCCGTTTCCAACGAAATACTCAAAGCTATCCAAATATCTTCTTGCAGATTTTACAAAAAGCGTGTTTCAAAACTGCTCTATCAAAAGAAAGGTTCAACACTGTTAGTTGACGGCGCACATCACAAATAAGTTTCTGAGAATGCTTCTGTCTAGTTTTCAGGGGAAGATATTTCCTTTTTCACCATAGGCCTGAAAGCGCTCCAAATGTCCACATCCAGATACTACAAAAAGAGTGTTTCAAACCTGCTCTATGAAAGGGAATGTTCAACTCTGTGACTTGAATGCAAACATCACAAAGAAGTTTCTGGGAATGCTGCTGTCTGCTTTTTATATGTAATCCCGTTTCCAACGAAATCCTCAAAGCTAGACAAATATCCACTTGCAGATTCCACAAAACGAGTGTTTCAAAACTGCTCTCTCAAAGGAAGGTTCAACTCTGTTAGCTGAGTAGATACATCATGAAAAAGTTTCTGACATTGCTTCTATCTAGCTTTTATTGGAAGATAATTCCTTTATCACCGTATTCCTGAGATCTCTCCAAATGTCCACTTCCAGATACTACAAAAAGAGTGTTTCAAACCTGCTCTATGAAAGGGACTGTTCAACACTGTGACTTCAATTGAAACATCCCAATGAAGCTTCTGAGAATGCTGCTGTCTGCTTTGTATAATTAATCCCGTTTCCAACGAAATCCTCAAAGCTATCCAAATATCCTCTTGCAGATATTACAAAAAGAGTGTTTCAAAACTGCTCTATCAAAAGAAAGCTTCAACACTGTTAGTTGAGGGCGCACATCACAAATAAGTTTCTGAGAATGCTGCTGTCTGCTTTTTATATGTAATCCCGTTTCCAACGAAATCCTCAAAGCTAGACAAATATCCACTTGCAGATTCCACAAAAAGAGTTTTTCAAAACTGCTCTATCAAAAGAAAGCTTCAACACTGTTAGTTGAGGGCGCACATCACAAATAAGTTTCTGAGAATGCTTCTGTCTAGTTTTCAGGGGAAGATATTTCCTTTTTCACCATAGGCCTGAAAGCGCTCGAAATGTCCACATCCAGATACTACAAAAAGAGTGTTTCAAACCTGCTCTATGAAAGGGACTGTTCAACACTGTGACTTCAATTGAAACATCCCAATGAAGCTTCTGAGAATGCTTCTGTCTAGAGTTTATATGAAGACAATCCCGTTTCCAACGAAATCCTCAAAGCTATCCAAATATCCTCTTGCAGATATTACAAAAAGAGTGTTTCAAAACTGCTCTATCAAAAGAAAGGTTCAACACTGTTAGTTGAGGGCGCACATCACAAATAGGTTTCTGAGAATGCTTCTGTCTAGTTTTCAGGGAAAGATATTTCCTTTTTCACCATAGGCCTGAAAGCGCTCCAAATGTCCACATCCAGATACTACAAAAAGAGTGTTTCAAACCTGCTCTATGAAAGGGAATGTTCAACTCTGTGACTTGAATGCAAATATCACAAAGAAGTTTCTGGGAATGCTGCTGTCTGCTTTTTATATGTAATCCCGTTTCCAACGAAATCCTCAAAGCTAGACAAATATCCACTTGCAGATTCCACAAAAAGAGTGTTTCAAAACTGCTCTCTCAAAAGAAAGGTTCAACTCTGTTAGCTGAGTAGATACATCATGAAAAAGTTTCTGACATTTCTTCTATCTAGCTTTTATTGGAAGGTATTTCCTTTTTCACCGTAGTCCTGAGAGCGCTCCAAATGTCCACTTCCAGATACTACAAAAAGAGTGTTTCAAACCTGCTCTATGAAAGGGACTGTTCAACACTGTGACTTCAATTGAAACATCCCAATGAAGCTTCTGAGAATGCTTCTGTCTAGAGTTTATATGAAGACAATCCCGTTTCCAACGAAATCCTCAAAGCTATCCAAATATCCTCTTGCAGATATTACAAAAAGAGTGTTTCAAAACTGCTCTATCAAAAGAAAGGTTCAACACTGTTAGTTGAGGGCGCACATCACAAATAAGTTTACTGAGAATGCTGCTGTCTGCTTTTTATATGTAATCCCGTTTCCAACGAAATCCTCAAAGCTAGACAAATATCCACTTGCAGATTCCACAAAAAGAGTTTTTCAAAACTGCTCTATCAAAAGAAAGCTTCAACACTGTTAGTTGAGGGCGCACATCACAAATAAGTTTCTGAGAATGCTTCTGTCTAGTTTTCAGGGGAAGATATTTCCTTTTAAACCATAGGCCTGAAAGCGCTCCAAATGTCCACATCCAGATACTACAAAAAGAGTGTTTCAAACCTGCTCTATGAAAGAGACTGTTCAACACTGTAACTTCAATTGAAACATCCCAATGAAGCTTCTGAGAATGCTTCTGTCTAGAGTTTATATGAAGACAATCCCGTTTCCAACAAAATCCTCAAAGCTATCAAAATATCCTCTTGCAGATTTTACGAAAAGAGTGTTTCAAAACTGCTCTATCAAAAGAAAGCTTCAACACTGTTAGTTGAGGGCGCTAATCAAAAATAAGATTCTGAGAATGCTTCTGTCTAGTTTTCAGGGGAAGATATTTCCTTTTTCACCATAGGCCTGAAAGCGCTCCAAATGTCCACATCCAGATACTACAAAAAGAGTGTTTCAAACCTGCTCTATGAAAGGGAATGTTCAACTCTGTGACTTGAATGCAAACGTCACAAAGAAGTTTCTGGGAATGCTGCTGTCTGCTTTTTATATGTAATCCCGTTTCCAACGAAATCCTCAAAGCTAGACAAATATCCACTTGCAGATTCCACAAAAAGAGTGTTTCAAAACTGCTCTCTCAAAAAAAAGGTTCAACTCTGTTAGCTGAGTAGATACATCATGAAGAAGTTTCTGACATTGCTTCTATGTAGCTTTTATTGGAAGATATTTCCTTTTTCACCATAGTCCTGAGAGCGCTCCAAATGTCCACTTCCAGATACTACAAAAAGAGTGTTTCAAACCTGTTCTATGAAAGGAACTGTTCAACACTGTGACTTCAATTGAAACATCCCAATGAAGCTTCTGAGAATGCTGCTGTCTGCTTTGTATAATTAATCCCGTTTCCAACGAAATCCTCAAAGCTATCCAAATATCCTCTTGCAGATATTACAAAAAGAGTGTTTCAAAACTGCTCTATCAAAAGAAAGCTTCAACACTGTTAGTTGAGGGCGCACATCACAAATAAGTTTCTGAGAATGCTGCTGTCTGCTTTTTATATGTAATCCCGTTTCCAACGAAATCCTCAAAGCTAGACAAATATCCACTTGCAGATTCCACAAAAAGAGTGTTTCAAAACTGCTCTATCAAAAGAAAGCTTCAACACTGTTAGTTGAGGGCGCACATCACAAATAAGTTTCTGAGAATGCTTCTGTCTAGTTTTCAGGGGAAGATATTTCCTTTTTCACCATAGGCCTGAAAGCGCTCCAAATGTCCACATCCAGATACTACAAAAAGAGTGTTTCAAACCTGCTCTATGAAAGGGACTGTTCAACACTGTGACTTCAATTGAAACATCCCAATGAAGCTTCTGAGAATGCTTCTGTCTAGATTTTATATGAAGACAATCCCGTTTCCAAAGAAATCCTCAAAGCTATCCAAATATCCTCTTGCAGATTTTACAAAAAGAGTGTTTCAAAACTGCTCTATTAAAAGAAAAGTTCAACACTGTTAGTTGAGGGCGCACATCACAAATAAGTTTCTGAGAATGCTTCTGTCTAGTTTTCAGGGGAAGATATTTCCTTTTTCACCATAGGCCTGAGAGCGCTCCAAATGTCCACATCCAGATACTACAAAAAGAGTGTTTCAAACCTGCTCTATGAAAGAGAATGTTCAACTCTGTGACTTGAATGCAAACATCACAAAGAAGTTTCTGGGAATGCTGCTGTCTGCTTTTTATATGTAATCCCGTTTCCAACGAAATCCTCAAAGCTAGACAAATATCCACCTGCAGATCCAACAAAAAGAGTGTTTCAAAACTGCTCTCTCAAAAAAAAGGTTCAACTCTGTTAGCTGAGTAGATACATCATGAAAAAGTTTCTGCCATTGCTTCTATCTAGCTTTTATTGGAAGATATTTCCTTTTTCACCGCAGTCCTGAGAGCGTTCCAAATGTCCACTTCCAGATACTACAAAAAGAGTGTTTCAAACCTGCTCTATGAAAGGGACTGTTCAACACTGTGACTTCAATTGAAACATCCCAATGAAGCTTCTGAGAATGCTTCTGTCTAGAGTTTATATGAAGACAATCCCGTTTCCAACGAAATCCTCAAAGCTATCCAAATATCCTCTTGCAGATATTACAAAAAGAGTGTTTCAAAACTGCTCTATCAAAAGAAAGGTTCAACACTGTTAGTTGAGGGCGCACATCACAAATAAGTTTACTGAGAATGCTGCTGTCTGCTTTTTATATGTAATCCCGTTTCCAACGAAATCCTCAAAGCTAGACAAATATCCACTTGCAGATTCCACAAAAAGAGTGTTTCAAAACTGCTCTATCAAAAGAAAGCTTCAACACTGTTAGTTGAGGGGGCACATCACAAATAAGTTTCTGAGAATGCTTCTGTCTAGTTTTCAGGGGAAGATATTTCCTTTTTCACCTTAGGCCTGAAAGCGCTGCAAATGTCCACATCCAGATACTACAAAAAGAGTGTTTCAAACCTGCTCTATGAAAGGGACTGTTCAACACTGTGACTTCAATTGAAACATCCCATATGAAGCTTCTGAGAATGCTTCTGTCTAGAGTTTATATGAAGACAATCCCGTTTCCAACGAAATCCTCAAAGCTATCCAAATATCCTCTTGCAGATATTACAAAAAGAGTGTTTCAAAACTGCTCTATCAAAAGAAAGGTTCAACAGTGTTAGTTGAGGGCGCACATCACAAATAAGTTTCTGAGAATGCTTCTGTCTAGTTTTCAGGAGAAGATATTTCCTTTTTCACCATAGGCCTGAAAGCGCTCCAAATGTCCACATCCAGATACTATAAAAAGAGTGTTTCAAACCTGCTGCTCTGAAAGGGAATGTTCAACTCTGTGACTTGAATGCAAACATCACAAACAAGATTCTGGGAATGCTGCTGTCTGCTTTTTATATGTAATCCCGTTTCCAACGAAATCCTCAAAGCTAGACAAATATCCACTTGCAGATTCCACAAAAAGAGTGTTTCAAAACTGCTCTCTCAAAGGAAAGGTTCAACTCTGTTAGCTGAGTAGATACATCATGAAAAAGTTTCTGACATTGCTTCTATGTAGCTTTTATTGGAAGTTATTTCCTTTTTCACCATAGTCCTGAGAGCGCTCAAAATGTCCACTTCCAGATACTACAAAAAGAGTGTTTCAAACCTGTTCTATGAAAGGAACTGTTCAACAGTGTGACTTCAATTGAAACATCCCAATGAAGCTTCTGAGAATGCTTCTGTCTAGAGTTTATATGAAGACAATCCCGTTTCCAACGAAATCCTCAAAGCTATCCAAATATCCTCTTGCAGATATTACAAAAAGAGTGTTTCAAAACTGCTCTATCAAAAGAAAGCTTCAACACTGTTAGTTGAGGGCGCACATCACAAATAAGATTCTTAGAATGCTGCTGTCTGCTTTTTATATGTAATCCCGTTTCCAACGAAATCCTCAAAGCTATCCAAATATCCTCTTGCAGATATTACAAAAAGAGTGTTTCAAAACTGCTCTATCAAAAGAAAGGTTCAACACTGTTAGTTGAGGGCGCACATCACAAATAAGTTTCTGAGAATGCTTCTGTCTAGTTTTCAGGGGAAGATATTTCCTTTTAAACCATAGGCCTGAAAGCGCTCCAAATGTCCACATCCAGATACTACAAAAAGAGTGTTTCAAACCTGCTCTATGAAAGGGACTGTTCAACACTGTGACTTCAATTGAAACATCCCAATGAAGCTTCTGAGAATGCTTCTGTCTAGAGTTTATATGAAGACAATCCCGTTTCCAACGAAATCCTCAAAGCTATCCAAATATCCTCTTGCAGATTTTACAAAAAGAGTGTTTCAAAACTGCTCTATCAAAAGAAAGCTTCAACACTGTTAGTTGAGGGCGCACATCACAAATAAGATTCTGAGAATGCTTCTGTCTAGTTTTCAGGGGAAGATATTTCCTTTTTCACCATAGGCTTGAAAGCACTCCAAATGTCCACATCCAGATACTACAAAAAGAGTGTTTCAAACCTGCTCTATGAAAGGGAATGTTCAACTCTGTGACTTGAATGCAAACATCACAAAGAAGTTTCTGGGAATGCTGCTGTCTGCTTTTTATATGTAATCCCGTTTCCAAGGAAATCCTCAAAGCTAGACAAATATCCACTTGCAGATTCCACAAAAAGAGTGTTTCAAAACTGCTCTCTCAAAAGAAAGGTTCAACTCTGTTAGCTGAGTAGATACATCATGAAAAAGTTTCTGACATTGCTTCTATGTAGCCTTTATTGGAAGATATTTCCTTTTTCACCGCAGTCCTGAGAGCGCTCCAAATGTCCACTTCCAGATACTACAAAAAGAGTGTTTCAAACCTGCTCTATGAAAGGGACTGTTCAACACTGTGACTTCAATTGAAACATCCCAATGAAGCTTCTGAGAATGCTTCTGTCTAGAGTTTATATGAAGACAATCCCGTTTCCAACGAAATCCTCAAAGCTATCCAAATATCCTCTTGCAGATATTACAAAAAGAGTGTTTCAAAACTGCTCTATCAAAAGAAAGGTTCAACACTGTTAGTTGAGGGCGCACATCACAAATAAGTTTACTGAGAATGCTGCTGTCTGCTTTTTATATGTAATCCCGTTTCCAACGAAATCCTCAAAGCTAGACAAATATCCACTTGCAGATTCCACAAAAAGAGTGTTTCAAAACTGCTCTATCAAAAGAAAGCTTCAACACTGTTAGTTGAGGGCGCACATCACAAATAAGTTTCTGAGAATGCTTCTGTCTAGTTTTCAGGGGAAGATATTTCCTTTTTCACCATAGGCCTGAAAGCGCTCCAAATGTCCACATCCAGATACTACAAAAAGAGTGTTTCAAACCTGCTCTATGAAAGGGACTGTTCAACACTGTGACTTCAATTGAAACATCCCAATGAAGCTTCTGAGAATGCTTCTGTCTAGAGTTTATATGAAGACAATCCCGTTTCCAACGAAATCCTCAAAGCTATCCAAATATCCTCTTGCAGATTTTACAAAAAGTGTGTCTCAAAACTGCTCTATCAAAAGAAAGCTTCAACACTGTTAGTTGAGGGCGCACATCACAAATAAGTTTCTGAGAATGCTTCTGTCTAGTTTTCAGGAGAAGATATTTCCTTTTTCACCATAGGCCTGAAAGCGCTCCAAATGTCCACATCCAGATACTATAAAAAGAGTGTTTCAAAGCTGCTCTATGAAAGGGAATGTTGAACTCTGTGACTTGAATGCAAACATCACAAAGAAGATTCTGGGAATGCTGCTGTCTGCTTTTTATATGTAATCCTGTTTCCAACGAAATCCTCAAAGCTAGACAAATATCCACTTGCAGATTCCAGAAAAAGAGTGTTTCAAAACTGCTCTCTCAAAAGAAAGGTTCAACTCTGTTAGCTGAGTAGATACATCATGAAAAAGTTTCTGACATTGCTTCTATCTAGCTTTTATTGGAAGATATTTCCTTTATCACTCTATTCCTGAGATCTCTCCAAATGTCCACTTCCAGCTACTATAAAAAGAGTGTTTCAAACCTGCTCTATGAAAGGGACTTTTCAACACTGTGACTTCAATTGAAACATCCCAATGAAGCTTCTGAGAATGCTTCTGTCTAGAGTTTATATGAAGACAATCCCGTTTCCAACGAAATCCTCAAAGCTATCCAAATATCCTCTTGCAGATTTTACAAAAAGAGTGTTTCAAAACTGCTCTATCAAAAGAAAGCTTCAACACTGTTAGTTGAGGGCGCACATCACAAATAAGATTCTGAGAATGCTTCTGTCTAGTTTTCAGGGGAACATATTTCCTTTTTCACCATAGGCCTGAAAGCGCTCCAAATGTCCACATCCAGATACTACAAAAAGAGTGTTTCAAACCTGCTCTATGAAAGGGAATGTTCAACTCTGTGACTTGAATGCAAACATCACAAAGAAGTTACTGGGAATGCTGCTGTCTGCTTTTTATATGTAATCCCGTTTCCAACGAAATCCTCAAAGCTAGACAAATATCCACTTGCAGATTCCACAAAAAGAGTGTTTCAAAACTGCTCTCTCAAAGGAAAGGTTCAACTCTGTTAGCTGAGTAGATACATCATGAAAAAGTTTCTGACATTGCTTCTATCTAGCTTTTATTGGAAGATATTTCCTTTATCACCGTATTCCTGAGATCTCTCCAAATGTCCACTTCCAGATACAACAAAAAGAGTGTTTCAAACCTGCTCTATGAAAGGGACTGTTCAACACTGTGACTTCAATTGAAACATCCCAATGAAGCTTCTGAGAATGCTTCTTTCTAGAGTTTATATGAAGACAATCCCGTTTCCAACGAAATCCTCAAAGCTATCCAAATATTCTCTTGCAGATATTACAAAAAGAGTGTTTCAAAACTGCTCTATCAAAATAAAGCTTCAACACTGTTAGTTGAGGGCGCACATCACAAATAAGTTTCTGAGAATGCTGCTGTCTGCTTTTTATATGTAATCCCGTTTCCAACGAAATCCTCAAAACTAGACAAATATCCACTTGCAGATTCCACAAAAAGAGTGTTTCAAAACTGCTCTATCAAAAGAAAGCTTCAACACTGTTAGTTGAGGGCGCACATCACAAATAAGATTCTGAGAATGCTTCTGTCTAGTTTTCAGGGGAAGATATTTCCTTTTAAACTATAGGCCTGCAAAAGCTCCAAATGTCCACATCCAGATACTACAAAAAGAGTGTTTCAAACCTGCTCTATGAAAGGGACTGTTCAACACTGTGACTTCAATTGAAACATCCCAATGAAGCTTCTGAGAATTCTTCTGTCTAGATTTTATATGAAGACAATCCCGTTTCCAACGAAATCCTCAAAGCTATCCAAATATCCTCTTGCAGATTTTACAAAAAGAGTGTTTCAAAACTGCTCTATCAAAAGAAAAGTTCAACACTGTTAGTTGAGGGCGCACATCACAAATAAGTTTCTGAGAATGCTTCTGTCTAGTTTTCAGGGGAAGATATTTACTTTTTCAACATAGGCCTGAAAGCGCTCCAAATGTCCACATCCAGATACTACAAAAAGAGTGTTTCAAACCTGCTCTCTGAAAGGGAATGTTCAACTCTGTGACTTGAATGCAAACATCACAAAGAAGTTTGCTGGGAATGCTGCTGTCTGCTTTTTATATGTAATCCCGTTTCCAACGAAATCCTCAAAGCTAGACAAATATCCACTTGCAGATTCCACAAAAAGAGTGTTTCAAAACTGCTCTCTCAAAAGAAAGGTTCAACTCTGTTAGCTGAGTAGATACATCATGAAAAAGTTTCTGACATTGCTTCTATGTAGCTTTTATTGGAAGATATTTCCTTTTTCACCGTAGTACTGTGATCGCTCCAAATGTCCACTTCCAGATACTACAAAAAGAGTGTTTCAAACCTGCTCTATGAAAGGGACTGTTCAACACTGTGACTTCAATTGAAACATCCAATGAAGCTTCTGAGAATTCTTCTGCCTAGAGTTTATATGAAGACAATCCCGTTTCCAACGAAATCCTCAAAGCTATCCAAATATCCTCTTGCAGATATTACAAAAAGAGTGTTTCAAAACTGCTCTATCAAAAGAAAGCTTCAACACTGTTAGTTGAGGGCGCACATCACAAATAAGTTTCTGAGAATGCTTCTGTCTAGTTTTCAGGAGAAGATATTTCCTTTTTCACCTTAGGCCTGAAAGCGCTGCAAATGTCCACATCCAGATACTACAAAAAGAGTGTTTCAAACCTGCTCTATGAAAGGGAATGTTCAACTCTGTGACTTGAATGCAAACATCACAAAGAAGTTTCTGGGAATGCTGCTGGCTGCTTTTTATATGTAATCCCGTTTCCAAAGAAATCCTCAAAGCTAGACAAATATCCACTTGCAGATTCCACAAAAAGAGTGTTTCAAAACTGCTCTCTCAAAGGAAGGTTCAACTCTGTTAGCTGAGTAGATACATCATGAAAAAGTTTCTGACATTGCTTCTATCTAGCTTTTATTGGAAGATATTTCCTTTTTCACCGCAGTCCTGAGAGCGCTCCAAATGTCCACTTCCAGATACTACAAAAAGAGTGTTTCAAACCTGCTCTATGAAAGGGACTGTTCAACACTGTGACTTCAATTGAAACATCCCAATGAAGCTTCTGAGAATGCTTCTGTCTAGAGTTTATATGAAGACAATCCCGTTTCCAACGAAATCCTCAAAGCTATCCAAATATCCTCTTGCAGATATTACAAAAAGAGTGTTTCAAAACTGCTCTATCAAAAGAAAGGTTCAACACTGTTAGTTGAGGGCGCACATCACAAATAAGTTTACTGAGAATGCTGCTGTCTGCTTTTTATATGTAATCCCGTTTCCAACGAAATCCTCAAAGCTAGACAAATATCCACTTGCAGATTCCACAAAAAGAGTGTTTCAAAACTGCTCTATCAAAAGAATGCTTCAACACTGTTAGTTGAGGGCGCAAATCACAAATAAGTTTCTGAGAATGCTTCTGTCTAGTTTTCAGGGGAAGATATTTCCTTTTAAACCATAGGCCTGAAAGCGCTCCAAATGTCCACATCCAGATACTACAAAAAGAGTGTTTCAAACCTGCTCTATGAAAGGGACTGTTCAACACTGTGACTTCAATTGAAACATCCCAATGACGCTTCTGAGAATGCTTCTGTCTAGAGTTTATATGAAGACAATACCGTTTCCAACGAAATCCTCAAAGCTA
This sequence comes from Homo sapiens, assembly GCF_000001405.40. NCBI lineage: Eukaryota > Metazoa > Chordata > Mammalia > Primates > Hominidae > Homo > Homo sapiens. The sequence continues at coordinate 93,418,612 of NC_000002.12, read as the reverse complement.
TCCAAATATCCTCTTGCAGATTTCACAAAAAGAGTGTTTCAAAACTGCTCTATCAAAAGAAAGCTTCAACACTGTTAGTTGAGGGCGCACATCACAAATAAGATTCTGAGAATGCTTCTGTCTAGTTTTCAGGGGAAGATATTTCCTTTTTCACCATAGGCCTGAAAGCGCTCCAAATGTCCACATCCAGATACTACAAAAAGAGTGTTTCAAACCTGCTCTATGAAAGGGAATGTTCAACTCTGTGACTTGAATGCAAACATCACAAAGAAGATTCTGGGAATGCTGCTGTCTGCTTTTTATATGTAATCCCGTTTCCAACGAAATCCTCAAAGCTATACAAATATCCACTTGCAGATTCCACAAAAAGAGTGTTTCAAAACGGCTCTCTCAAAAGAAAGGTTCAGCTCTGTTAGCTGAGTAGATACATCATGAAAGATTTTCTGACATTGCTTCTATCTAGCTTTTATTGGAAGATATTTCCTTTATCACCGTATTCCTGAGATCTCTCCAAATGTCCACTTCCAGATACTACAAAAAGAGTGTTTCAAACCTGCTCTATGAAAGGGACTGTTCAACACTGTGACTTCAATTGAAACATCCCAATGAAGCTTCTGAGAATGCGGCTGTCTGCTTTGTATAATTAATCCCGTTTCCAACGAAATCCTCAAAGCTATCCAAATATCCTCTTGCAGATATTACAAAAAGAGTGTTTCAAAACTGCTCTATCAAAAGAAAGCTTCAACACTGTTAGTTGAGGGCGCACATCACAAATAAGTTTCTGAGAATGCTGCTGTCTGCTTTTTATATGTAATCCCGTTTCCAACGAAATCCTCAAAGCTAGACAAACATCCACTTGCAGATTCCACAAAAAGAGTGTTTCAAAACTGCTCTATCAAAAGAAAGCTTCAACACTGTTAGTTGAGGGCGCACATCACAAATAAGTTTCTGAGAATGCTTCTGTCTAGTTTTCAGGGGAAGATATTTCCTTTTAAACCATAGGCCTGAAAGCGCTCCAAATGTCCACATCCAGATACTACAAAAAGAGTGTTTCAAATCTGCTCTATGAAAGGGACTGTTCAACACTGTGACTTCAATTGAAACATCCCAATGAGGCTTCTGAGAATGCTTCTGTCTAGATTTTATATGAAGACAATCCCGTTTCCAACGAAATCCTCAAAGCTATCCAAATATCCTCTTGCAGATTTTACAAAAAGAGTGTTTCAAAACTGCTCTATCAAAAGAAAAGTTCAACACTGTTAGTTGAGGGCGCACATCACAAATAAGTTTCTGAGAATGCTTCTGTCTAGTTTTCAGGGGAAGATATTTCCTTTTTCACCATAGGCCTGAAAGCGCTGCAAATGTCCACATTCAGATACTACAAAAAGAGTGTTTCAAACCTGCTCTATGAAAGGGAATGTTCAACTCTGTGACTTGAATGCAAACATCACAAAGAAGTTTCTGGGAATGCTGCTGTCTGCTTTTTATATGTAATCCCGTTTCCAACGAAATCCTCAAAGCTAGACAAATATCCACTTGCAGATTCCACAAAAAGAGTGTTTCAAAACTGCTCTCTCAAAAGAAAGGTTCAACTCTGTTAGCTGAGTAGATACATCATGAAAAAGTTTCTGACATTGCTTCTATCTAGCTTTTATTGGAAGATATTTCCTTTTTCACCACAGTCCTGAGAGCGCTCCAAATGTCCACTTCCAGATACTACACAAAGAGTGTTTCAAACCTGCTCTATGAAAGGGACTGTTCAACACTGTGACTTCAATTGAAACATCCCAATGAAGCTTCTGAGAATGCTTCTGTCTACTTTTCAGGAGAAGATATTTCCTTTTTCACCATAGGCCTGAAAGCGCTCCAAATGTCCACATCTAGATACTATAAAAAGAGTGTTTCAAACCTGCTCTCTGAAAGGGAATGTTCAACTCTGTGACTTGAATGCAAACATCACAAACAAGATTCTGGGAATGCTGCTGTCTGCTTTTTATATGTAATCCCGTTTCCAACGAAATCCTCAAAGCTAGACAAATATCCACTTGCAGATTCCACAAAAAGAGTGTTTGAAAACTGCTCTGTCAAAAGAAAGCTTCAACACTGTTAGTTGAGGGCGCACATCACAAATAAGTTTCTGAGAATGCTTCTGTCTAGTTTTCAGGGGAAGATATTTCCTTTTTCACCATAGGCCTGAAAGCGCTCCAAATGTCCACATCCAGATACTACAAAAAGAGTGTTTCAAACCTGCTCTATGAAAGGGACTGTTCAACACTGTGACTTCAATTGAAACATCCCAATGAAGCTTCTGAGAATGCTTCTGTCTAGACTTTATATGAAGACAATCCCGTTTCCAACGAAATCCTCAAAGCTATCCAAATATCCTCTTGCAGATTTTACAAAAAGAGTGTTTCAAAACTACTCTATCAAAAGAAAGGTTCAACACTGTTAGTTGAGGGCGCACATCACAAATAAGTTTCTCAGAATGCTTCTGTCTAGTTTTCAGAGGAAGATATTTCCTTTTTCACCATAGGCCTGAAAGTGCTCCAAATGTCCACATCCAGATACTACAAAAAGAGTGTTTCAAACCTGCTCTATGAAAGGGAATGTTCAACTCTGGGACTTGAATGCAAACATCACAAAGAAGTTTTTGGGAATGCTGCTGTCTGCTTTTTATATGTAATCCCGTTTCCAACGAAATCCTCAAAGCTAGACAAATATCCACTTGCAGATTCCACAAAAAGAGTGTTTCAAAACTGCTCTCTCAAAGGAAGGTTCAACTCTGTTAGCTGAGTAGATACATCATGAAAAAGTTTCTGACATTGCTTCTATGTAGCTTTTATTGGAAGATATTTCCTTTTTCACCATAGTCCTGAGAGCGCTCCAAATGTCCACTTCCAGATACTACAAAAAGAGTGTTTCAAACCTGTTCTATGAAAGGAACTGTTCAACACTGTGACTTCAATTGAAACATCCCAATGAAGCTTCTGAGAATGCTTCTGTCTAGAGTTTATATGAAGACAATCCCGTTTCCAACGAAATCCTCAAAGCTATCCAAATATCCTCTTGCAGATATTACAAAAAGAGTGTTTCAAAACTGCTCTATCAAAAGAAAGGTTCAACACTGTTAGTTGAGGGCGCACATCACAAATAAGTTTACTGAGAATGCTGCTGTCTGCTTTTTATATGTATTCCCGTTTCCAACGAAATCCTCAAAGCTAGACAAATATCCACTTGCAGATTCCACAAAAAGAGTGTTTCAAAACTGCTCTATCAAAAGAAAGCTTCAACACTGTTAGTTGAGGGCGCACATCACAAATAAGTTTCTGAGAATGCTTCTGTCTAGTTTTCAGAGGAAGATATTTCCTTTTTCACCATAGGCCTGAAAGTGCTCCAAATGTCCACATCCAGATACTACAAAAAGAGTGTTTCAAACCTGCTCTATGAAAGGGAATGTTCAACTCCTGGGACTTGAATGCAAACATCACAAAGAAGTTTTTGGGAATGCTTCTGTCTAGAGTTTATATGAAGACAATCCCGTTTCCAACGAAATCCTCAAAGCTATCCAAATATCCTCTTGCAGATATTACAAAAAGAGTGTTTCAAAACTGCTCTATCAAAAGAAAGCTTCAACACTGCTAGTTGAGGGCGCACATCACAAATAAGTTTCTGATAATGCTTCTGTCTAGTTTTCAGGGGAAGATATTTCCTTTTTCACCATAGGCCTGAAAGCGCTCCAAATGTCCACATCCAGATACTACAAAAAGAGTGTTTCAAACCTGCTCTATGAAAGGGAATGTTCAACTCTGTGACTTGAATGCAAACATCACAAAGAAGTTTCTGGGAATGCTGTTGTCTGCTTTTTATATGTAATCCCGTTTCCAACGAAATCCTCAAAGCTAGACAAATATCCACTTGCAGATTCCACAAAAAGAGTGTTTCAAAACTGCTGTCTCAAAAGAAAGGTTCAACTCTGTTAGCTGAGTAGATACATCATGAAAAAGTTTCTGACATTGCTTCTATCTAGCTTTTATTGGAAGATATTTCCTTTTTCACTGCAGTCCTGAGAGCGCTCCAAATGTCCACTTCCAGATACTACAAAAAGAGTGTTTCAAACCTGCTCTATGAAAGGGACTGTTCAACACTGTGACTTCAATTGAAACATCCCAATGAAGCTTCTGAGAATGCTTCTGTCTAGAGTTTATATGAAGACAATACCGTTTCCAACGAAATCCTCAAAGCTATCCAAATATCCTCTTGCAGATATTACAAAAAGAGTGTTTCAAAACTGCTCTATCAAAAGAAAGGTTAAACACTGTTAGTTGAGGGCGCACATCACAAATAGGTTTCTGAGAATGCTGCTGTCTGCTTTTTATATGTAATCCCGTTTCCAACGAAATCCTCAAAGCTAGACAAATATCCACTTGCAGATTCCACAAAAAGAGTGTTTCAAAACTGCTCTATCAAAAGAAAGCTTCAACACTGTTAGTTGAGGGCGCACATCACAAATAAGTTTCTGAGAATGCTTCTGTCTAGTTTTCAGGGGAAGATATTTCCTTTTAAACCATAGGCCTGAAAGCGCTCCAAATGTCCACATCCAGATACTACAAAAAGAGTGTTTCAAACCTGCTCTAGGAAAGGGACTGTTCAACACTGTGACTTCAATTGAAACATCCCAATGACGCTTCTGAGAATGTTTTCTGTCTAGATTGTATATGAAGACAATCCCGTTTCCAACGAAATCCTCAAAGCTATCCAAATATCCTCTTGCAGATTTTACAAAAAGAGTGTTTCAAAACTGCTCTATCAAAAGAAAAGTTCAACACTGTTAGTTGAGGGCGCACATCACAAATAAGTTTCTGAGAATGCTTCTGTCTAGTTTTCAGGGGAAGATATTTCCTTTTTCACCATAGGCCTGAAAGCGCTCCAAATGTCCACATCCAGATACTACAAAAAGAGTGTTTCAAACCTGCTCTATAAAAGGGAACGTTCAACTCTGTGACTTGAATGCAAACATCACAAAGAAGTTTCTGGGAATGCTGCTGTCTGCTTTTTATATGTAATCCCGTTTCCAACGAAATCCTCAAAGCTAGACAAATATCCACTTGCAGATTCCACAAAAAGAGTGTTTCAAAACTGCTCTCTCAAAGGAAGGTTCAACTCTGTTAGCTGAGTAGATACATCATGAAAAAGTTTCTGACATTGCTTCTATCTAGCTTTTATTGGAAGATATTTCCTTTTTCACCGCAGTCCTGAGTGCGCTCCAAATGTCCACTTCCAGATACTACAAAAAGAGTGTTTCAAACCTGCTCTATGAAAGGGACTGTTCAACACTGTGACTTCAATTGAAACATCCCAATGAAGCTTCTGAGAATGCTGCTGTCTGCTTTGTATAATTAATCCCGTTTCCAACGAAATCCTCAAAGCTATCCAAATATCCTCTTGCAGATATTACAAAAAGAGTGTTTCAAAACTGCTCTATCAAAAGAAAGCTTCAACACTGTTAGTTGAGGGCGCACATCACAAATAAGTTTCTGAGAATGCTGCTGTCTGCTTTTTATATGTAATCCCGTTTCCATCGAAATCCTCAAAGCTAGACAAACATCCACTTGCAGATTCCACAAAAAGAGTGTTTCAAAACTGCTCTATCAAAAGAAAGCTTCAACACTGTTAGTTGAGGGCGCACATCACAAATAAGTTTCTGAGAATGCTTCTGTCTAGTTTTCAGGGGAAGATATTTCCTTTTTCACCATAGGCCTGAAAGCGCTCCAAATGTCCACATCCAGATACTACAAAAAGAGTGTTTCAAACCTGCTCTATGAAAGGGACTGTTCAACACTGTGACTTTAATTGAAACATCCCAATGAAGCTTCTGAGAATGCTTCTGTCTAGAGTTTATATGAAGACAATCCCATTTCCAAAGAAATCCTCAAAGCTATCCAAATATCCTCTTGGAGATTTTACAAAAAGAGTGTTTCAAAACTGCTCTATCAAAAGAAAGCTTCAACACTGTTAGTTGAGGGCGCACATCACAAATAAGATTCTGAGAACGCTTCTGTCTAGTTTTCAGGGGAAGATATTTCCTTTTTCACCATAGGCCTGAAAGCGCTCCAAATGTCCACATACAGATAGTACAAAAAGAGTGTTTCAAACCTGCTCTATGAAAGGGAATGTTCAACTCTGTGACTTGAATGAAAACATCACAAAGAAGTTACTGTGAATGCTGCTGTCTGCTTTTTATATATAATCCCGTTTCCAACGCAATCCTCAAAGCTAGACAAATATCCACTTGCAGATTCCACCAAAAGAGTGTTTCAAAACTGCTCTCTCAAAAGAAAGGTTCAACTCTGTTAGCTGAGTAGATAGATCATTAAAAAGTTTCTGACTTTGCTTCTATCTAGGTTTTATTGGAAGATATTTCCTTTTTCACTGTAGTCCTGAGAACGCTCCAAATGTCCACTTCCAGATACTACAAAAAGAGTGTTTCAAATCTGCTCTATGAAAGGGACTGTTCAACACTGTGACTTCAATTGAAACATCCCAATGAAGCTTCTGAGAATGATTCTGTCTAGATTCTATATGAAGACAATCCCGTTTCCAACGAAATCCTCAAATCTATGCAAATATCCTCTTGCAGATTTTACAAAAAGAATGTTTCGAAACTGCTCTATCAAAAGAAAGGTTCAACACTGTTAGTTGAGGGCGCACATCACAAATAAGTTTCTGAGAATGCTGCTGTCTGCTTTTTATAATTAATCCCGTTTCCAACGAAATCCTCAAAGCTATCCAAATATCCTCTTGCAGATATTACAAAAAGAGTGTTTCAAAACTGCTCTATCAAAAGAAAGCTTCAACACTGTTAGTTGAGGGCGCACATCACAAATAAGTTTCTGAGAATGCTTCTGTCTAGTTTTCAGGGGAAGATATTTCCTTTTTTACCATAGGCCTGAAAGCGCTCCAAATGTCCACATCCAGATACTACAAAAAGAGTGTTTCAAACCTGCTCTATGAATGGGACTGTTCAACACTGTGACTTCAATTGAAACATCCCAATGAAGCATCTGAGAATGCTTCTGTCTAGATTTTATATGAAGACAATCCCGTTTCCAACGAAATCCTCAAAGCTATCCAAATATCCTCTTGCAGATTTTACAAAAAGAGTGTTTCAAAACTGCTCCATCAAAAGAAAAGTTCAACACTGTTAGTTGAGGGCGCACATCACAAATAAGTTTCTGAGAATGCTTCTGTCTAGTTTTCAGGGGAAGATATTTCCTTTTTCACCATAGGCCTGAAAAGCGCTCCAAATGTCCACATCCAGATACTACAAAAAGAGTGTTTGAAACCTGCTCTATGAAAGGGAATGTTCAACTCTGTGACTTGAATGCAAACATCACAAAGAAGATTCTGGGAATGCTGCTGTCTGCTTTTTATATGTAATCCCGTTTCCAACGAAATCCTCAAAGCTAGACAAATATCCACTTGCAGATTCCACAAAAAGAGTGTTTCAAAACTGCTCTCTCAAAAGAAAGGTTCAACTCTGTTAGCTGAGTAGATACATCATGAAAAAGTTTCTGACATTGCTTCTATCTAGCTTTTATTGGAAGATAATTCCTTTTTCACCGTAGTCCTGAGAGCGCTCCAAATGTCCACTTCCAGATACTACAAAAAGAGTGTTTCAAACCTGCTCTATGAAAGGGAGTGTTCAACACTGTGACTTCAATTGAAACATCACAATGAAGCTTCTGAGAATGCTTCTGTCTAGTAGTTTATATGAAGACAATCCCGTTTCCAACGAAATCCTCAAAGCTATCCAAATATCCTCTTGCAGATTTTACGAAAAGAGTGTTTCAAAACTGCTCTATCAAAAGAAAGCTTCAACACTGTTAGTTGAGGGCGCACATCACAAATAAGATTCTGAGAATGCTTCTGTCTAGTTTTCAGGAGAAGATATTTCCTTTTTCATCATAGGCCTGAAAGCGCTCCAAATGTCCACATCCAGATACTATAAAAAGAGTGTTTCAAACCTGCTCTCTGAAAGGGAATGTTCAACTCTGTGACTTGAATGCAAACATCACAAACAAGATTCTGGGAATGCTGCTGTCTTCTTTTTATATGTATTCCCGTTTCCAACGAAATCCTCAAAGCTAGACAAATATCCACTTGCAGATTCCACAAAAAGAGTGTCTCAAAACTGCTCTCTCAAAAGAAAGGTTCAACTCTGTTAGCTGAGTAGATACATCATGAAAAAGTTTCTGACATTGCTTCTATGTAGCTTTTATTGGAAGATATTTCCTTTTTCACCGCAGTCCTGAGAGCGCTCCAAATGTCCACTTCCAGATACTACAAAAAGAGTGTTTCAAACCTGCTCTATGAAAGGGACTGTTCAACACTGTGACTTCAATTGAAACATCCCAATGAAGCTTCTGAGAATGCTTCTTTCTAGAGTTTATATGAAGACAATCCCGTTTCCAACGAAATCCTCAAAGCTATCCAAATATTCTCTTGCAGATATTACAAAAAGAGTGTTTCAAAACTGCTCTATCAAAATAAAGCTTCAACACTGTTAGTTGAGGGCGCACATCACAAATAAGTTTCTGAGAATGCTGCTGTCTGCTTTTTATATGTAATCCCGTTTCCAACGAAATCCTCAAAGCTAGAAAAATATCCAGATGCAGATTCCACAAAAAGAGTGTTTCAAAACTGCTCTATCAAAAGAAAGCTTCAACACTGTTAGTTGAGGGCGCACATCACAAATAAGTTTCTGAGAATGCTTCTGTCTAGTTTTCAGGGGAAGATATTTCCTTTTTCACCATAGAACTGAAAGCGCTCCAAATGTCCACATCCAGATACTACAAAAAGAGTGTTTCAAACCTGCTCTATGAAAGGGACTGTTCAACACTGTGACTTCAATTGAAACATCCCAATGAAGCATCTGAGAATGCTTCTGTCTAGAGTTTATATGAAGACAATCCCGTTTCCAACGAAATCCTCAAAGCTATCCAAATATCCTCTTGCAGATATTACAAAAAGTGTGTTTCAAAACTGCTCTATCAAAAGAAAGCTTCAACACTGCTAGTTGAGGGCGCACATCACAAATAAGTTTCTGAGAATGCTTCTGTCTAGTTTTCAGGGGAAGATATTTCCTTTTTCACCATAGGCCTGAAAGCGCTCCAAATGTCCACATCCAGATACTACAAAAAGAGTGTTTCAAACCTGCTCTATGAAAGGGAATGTTCAAGTCTGTGACTTGAATGCAAATATCACAAAGAAGTTTCTGGGAATGCTGCTGTCTGCTTTTTACATGTAATCCCGTTTCCAACGCAATCCTCAAAGCTAGACAAATATCCACTTGCAGATTCCACCAAAAGAGTGTTTCAAAACTGCTCTCTCAAAAGAAAGGTTCAACTCTGTTAGCTGAGTAGATACATCATGAAAAATTCTCTGACATTGCTTCTATCTAGCTTTTATTGGAAGATATTTCCTTTATCACCGTATTCCTGAGATCTCTCCAAATGTCCACTTCCAGATACTACAAAAAGAGTGTTTCAAACCTGCTCTATGAAAGGGACTGTTCAACACTGTGACTTCAATTGAAACATCCCAATGAAGCTTCTGAGAATGCTTCTGTCTAGAGTTTATATGAAGACAATCCCGTTTCCAACGAAATCCTCAAAGCTATCCAAGTATCCTCTTGCAGATATTACAAAAAGAGTGTTTCAAAACTGCTCTATCAAAAGAAAGGTTCAACACTGTTAGTTGAGGGCGCACATCACAAATAAGTTTCTGAGAATGCTGCTGTCTGCTTTTTATATGTAATCCCGTTTCCAACGAAATTCTCAAAGCTAGACAAATATCCACTTGCAGATTCCACAAAAAGAGTGTTTCAAAACTGCTCTATCAAAAGAAAGCTTCAACACTGTTAGTTGAGGGCGCACATCACAAATAAGTTTCTGAGAATGCTTCTGTCCAGTTTTCAGGGGAAGATATTTCCTTTTAAACCATAGGCCTGAAAGCACTCCAAATGTCCACATCCAGATACTACAAAAAGAGTGTTTCAAACCTGCTCTATGAAAGGGACTGTTCAACACTGTGACTTCAATTGAAACATCCCAATGAAGCTTCTGAGAATGCTTCTGTCTAGATTCTATATGAAGACAATCCCGTTTCCAACGAAATCCTCAAAGCTATCCAAATATCCTCTTGCAGATTTTACAAAAAGAGTGTTTCAAAACTGCTCTATCAAAAGAAAGGTTCAACACTGTTAGTTGAGGGCGCACATCACAAATAAGTTTCTGAGAATGCTTCTGTATAGTTTTCAGGGGAAGATATTTCCTTTTTCACCATAGGCCTGAAAGCGCTCCAAATGTCCACATCCAGATACTACAAAAAGAGTGTTTCAAACCTGCTCTATGAAAGGGAATGTTCAAGTCTGTGACTTGAATGCAAATTTCACAAAGAAGTTTCTGGGAATGCTGCTGTCTGCTTTTTATATGTAATCCCGTTTCCAACGAAATCCTCAAAGCTAGACAAATATCCACTTGCAGATTCCACAAAAAGAGGGTTTCAAAACTGCTCTCTCAAAAGAAAGGTTCAACTCTGTTAGCTGAGTAGATACATCATGAAAAAGTTTCTGACATTGCTTCTATCTAGCTTTTATTGGAAGATATTTCCTTTATCACCGTATTTCTGAGATCTCTCCAAATGTCCGCTTCCAGATACTACAAAAAGAGTGTTTCAAACCTGCTCTATGAAAGGGACTGTTCAACACTGTGACTTTAATTGAAACATCCCAATGAAGCTTCTGAGAATGCTTCTGTCTAGAGTTTATATGAAGACAATCCCGTTTCCAACGAAATCCTCAAAGCCATACAAATATCCTATTGCAGATTTTACAAAAAGAGTGTTTGAAAACTGCTCTATCAAAAGAAAGCTTCAACACTGTTAGTTGAGGGCGCACATCACAAATGAGATTCTGAGAATGCTTCTGTCTAGTTTTCAGGGGAAGATGTTTCCTTTTTCACCATAGGCCTGAAAGCGCTCCAAATGTCCACATCCAGATACTACAAAAAGAGTGTTTCAAACCTGCTCTATGAAAGGGAATGTTCAACTCTGTGACTTGAATGCAAACATCACAAAGAAGTTTCTGGGAATGCTGCTGTCTGCTTTTTATATGTAATCCCGTTTCCAACGAAATCCTCAAAGCTCGACAAATATCCACTTGCAGATTCCACAAAAAGAGTGTTTCAAAACTGCTCTATCAAAAGAATGCTTCAACACTGTTAGTTGAGGGCGCACAACACAAATAAGTTTCTGAGAATGCTTCTGTCTAGTTTTCAGGGGAAGATATTTCCTTTTAAACCATAGGCCTGAAAGCGCTCCAAATGTCCACATCCAGATACTACAAAAAGAGTGTTTCAAACCTGCTCTATGAAAGGGACTGTTCAACACTGTGACTTCAATTGAAACATCCCAATGAAGCTTCTGAGAATGCTCTGTCTAGAGTTTATATGAAGACAATCCCGTTTCCAAAGAAATCCTCAAAGCTATCCAAATATCCTCTTGCAGATATTACAAAAAGAGTGTTTCAAAACTGCTCTATCAAAACAAAGGTTCAACACTGTTAGTTGAGGGCGCACATCACAAATAAGTTTCTGAGAATGCTTTCTGTCTAGTTTTCAGGGGAAGATATTTCCTTTTTCACCATAGGCCTGAAAGCGCTCCAAATTTCCACATCCAGATACTACAAAAAGAGTGTTTCAAACCTGCTCTATGAAAGGGAATGTTCAACTCTGTCACTTAAATGCAAACATCACAAAGAAGTTTCTGGGAATGCTGCTGTCTGCTTTTTATATGTAATCCCGTTTCCAACGAAATCCTCAAAGCTAGTCAAATATCCACTTGCAGATTCCACAAAAAGAGTGTTTCAAAACTGCTCTCACAAAAGAAAGGTTCAACTCTTTTAGCTGAGTAGATACATCATGAAAAAGTTTCTGACATTGCTTCTATCTAGCTTTTATTGGAAGATATTTCCTTTTTCACCGCAGTCCTGAGAGCGTTCCAAATGTCCACTTCCAGATACTACAAAAAGAGTGTTTCAAACCTGCTCTATGAAAGGGACTGTTCAACACTGTGACTTCAATTGAAACATCCCAATGAAGCTTCTGAGAATGCTGCTGTCTGCTTTGTATAATTAATCCCGTTTCCAACGAAATCCTCAAAGCTATCCAAATATCCTCTTGCAGATATTACAAAAAGAGTGTTTCAAAACTGCTCTATCAAAAGAAAGCTTCAACACTGTTAGTTGAGGGCGCACATCACAAATAAGTTTCTGAGAATGCTGCTGTCTGCTTTTTATATGTAATCCCGTTTCCATCGAAATCCTCAAAGCTATCCAAATATCCTCTTGCAGATATTACAAAAAGAGTGTTTCAAAACTGCTCTATCAAAAGAAAGGTTCAACACTGTTAATTGAGGGCGCACATCACAAATAAGTTTCTGAGAATGCTTCTGTCTAGTTTTCAGGGGAAGATATTTCCTTTTAAACCATAGGCCTGAAAGCGCTCCAAATGTCCACATCCAGATACTACAAAAAGAGTGTTTCAAACCTGCTCTATGAAAGGGACTGTTCAACACTGTGACTTCAATTGAAACATCCCAATGAAGCTTCTGAGAATGCTACTGTCTAGAGTTTATATGAAGACAATCCCGTTTCCAACGAAATCCTCAAAGCTATCCAAATATCCTCTTGCAGATTTTACAAAAAGAGTGTTTCAAAACTACTCTATCAAAAGAAAGGTTTAACACTGTTAGTTGAGGGCGCACATCACAAATAAGTTTCTGAGAATGCTTCTGTCTAGTTTTCAGGGGAAGATATTTCCTTTTTCACCATAGGCCTGAAAGCGCTCCAAATGTCCACATCCTGATACTACAAAAAGAGTGTTTCAAATCTGCTCTATGAAAGGGAATGTTCAACTCTGTGACTTCAATGCAAATATCACAAAGAAGTTTCTGGGAATGCTGCTGTCTGCTTTTTAAATGTAATCCCGTTTCCAACGCAATCCTCAAAGCTAGACAAATATCCACTTGCAGATTCCACAAAAAGAGTGTTTCAAAACTGCTCTCTCAAAAGAAAGGTTCAACTCTGTTAGCTGAGTGGATACATCATGAAAAACTTTCTGACATTGCTTCTACCTAGCTTTTATTGGAAGATATTTCCTTTTTCACTGTAGTCCTGAGAACGCTCCAAATGTCCACTTCCAGATACTACAAAAAAAGTTTTTCAAACCTGCTCTATCAAAGGGACTGTTCAACACTGTGACTTCAATTGAAACATCCCAATGAAGCTTCTGAGAATGCTTATGTCTAGAGTTTATATGAAGACAATCCCGTTTCCAACGAAATCCTGAAAGCTATCCAAATATCCTCTTGCAGATATTACAAAAAGAGTGTTTCAAAACTGCTCTATCAAAAGAAAGCTTCAACACTGTTAGTTGAGGGCGCCCATCACAAATAAGTTTCGGAGAATGCTTAGCTGTCTGCTTTTTATATGTAATCCCGTTTCCAACGAAATCCTCAAAGCTAGACAAATATCCACTTGCAGATACCACAAAAAGAGTGTTTCAAAACTGCTCTATCAAAAGAAAGCTTCAACACTGTTAGTTGAGGGCGCACATCACAAATAAGTTTCTGAGAATGCTTCTGTCTAGTTTTCAGGGGAAGATATTTCCTTTTAAACCATAGGCCTGAAAGCGCTCCAAATGTCCACATCCAGATACTACAAAAAGAGTGTTTCAAACCTGCTGTATGAAAGGGACTGTTCAACACTGTGACTTCAATTGAAACATCCCAATGACGCTTCTGAGAATGCTACTGTCTAGAGTTTATATGAAGACAATCCTGTTTCCAACGAAATCCTCAAAGCTATCCAAATATCCTCTTGCAGATTTTACAAAAAGAGTGTTTCAAAACTACTCTATCAAAAGAAAGGTTTAACACTGTTAGTTGAGGGCGCACATCACAAATAAGTTTCTGAGAATGCTACTGTCTAGTTTTCAGAGGAAGATATTTCCTTTTTCACCATAGGCCTGAAAGCGCTCCAAATGTCCACATCCAGATACTACAAAAAGAGTGTTTCAAACACGCTCTATGGAAGGGAATGTTCAAGTCTGTGACTTGAATGCAAATATCACAAAGAAGTTTCTGGGAATGCTGCTGTCTGCTTTTTATATGTAATCCCGTTTCCAACGCAATCCTCAAAGCTAGACAAATATCCACTTGCAGATTCCACAAAAAGAGTGTTTCAAAACTGCTCTCTCAAAAGAAAGGTTCAACCCTGTTAGCTGAGTAGACACATCATGAGAAATTTTCTGACATTGCTTCTATGTAGCTTTTATTGGAAGATATTTCCTTTTTCACCGTAGTCCTGAGAGCGCTCCAAATGTCCACTTCGAGATACTACAAAAAGAGTGTTTCAAACCTGCTCTATGAAAGGAACTGTTCAACACTGTGACTTCAATTGAAACATCCCAATGAAGCTTCTGAGAATGCTTCTGTCTAGATTCTATATGAAGACAATCCCGTTTCCAACGAAATCCTCAAAGCTATCCAAATATCCTCTTGCAGATTTTACAAAAAGAGTGTTTCCAAACTGCTCTATCAAAAGAAAAGTTCCACACTGTTAGTTGAGGGCGCACATCACAAATAAGTTTCTGAGAATGCTTCTGTCTAGTTTTCAGGGGAAGATATTTCCTTTTTCACCATAGGCTTGAAAGCACTCCAAATGTCCACATCCAGATACTACAAAAAGAGTGTTTCAAACCTGCTCTATGAAAGGGAATGTTCAACTCTGTGACTTGAATGCAAACATCACAAAGAAGTTTCTGGGAATGCTGCTGTCTGCTTTTTATATGTATTCCCGTTTCCAACGAAATCCTCAAAGGTAGACAAATATCCACTTGCAGATTCCACAAAACGAGTGTTTCAAAACTGCTCTCTCAAAAGAAAGGTTCAACTCTGTTAGCTGAGTAGATACATCATGAAAAAGTTTCTGACATTGCTTCTATGTAGCTTTTATTGGAAGATATTTCCTTTTTCACCGTAGTCCTGAGGGCGCTCCAAATGTCCACTTCCAGATACTACAAAAAGAGTGTTTCAAACCTGCTCTATGAAAGGGACTGTTCAACACTGTGACTTCAATTGAAACATCCCAATGAAGCTTCTGAGAATGCTGCTGTCTGCTTTGTATAATTAATCCCGTTTCCAACGAAATCCTCAAAGCTATCCAAATATCCTCTTGCAGATATTACAAAAAGAGTGTTTCAAAACTGCTCTATCAAAAGAAAGCTTCAACACTGTTAGTTGAGGGCGCACATCACAAATAAGTTTCTGAGAATGCTGCTGTCTGCTTTTTAT
Organism: Homo sapiens; assembly: GCF_000001405.40. Taxonomy (NCBI): domain Eukaryota; kingdom Metazoa; phylum Chordata; class Mammalia; order Primates; family Hominidae; genus Homo; species Homo sapiens. The sequence continues at coordinate 93,403,201 of NC_000002.12, read as the reverse complement.
ATGTAATCCCGTTTCCAACGAAATCCTCAAAGCTAGACAAATATCCACTTGCAGATTCCACAAAAAGAGTGTTTCAAAACTGCTCTATCAAAAGAAAGCTTCAACACTGTTAGTTGAGGGCGCACATCACAAATAAGTTTCTGAGAATGCTTCTGTCTAGTTTTCAGGGGAAGATATTTCCTTTTAAACTATAGGCCTGCAAAAGCTCCAAATGTCCACATCCAGATACTACAAAAAGAGTGTTTCAAACCTGCTCTATGAAAGGGACTGTTCAACACTGTGACTTCAATTGAAACATCCCAATGAAGCTTCTGAGAATTCTTCTGTCTAGAGTTTATATGAAGACAATCCCGTTTCCAACGAAATCCTCAAAGCTATCCAAATATCCTCTTGCAGATTTTACAAAAAGAGTGTTTCAAAACTGCTCTATCAAAAGAAAGCTTCAACACTGTTAGTTGAGGGCGCACATCACAAATAAGATTCTGAGAATGCTTCTGTCTAGTTTTCAGGGGAAGATATTTCCTTTTTCACCATAGGCCTGAAAGCGCTCCAAATGTCCACATCCAGATACTACAAAAAGAGTGTTTCAAACCTGCTCTATGAAAGGGAATGTTCAACTCTGTGACTTGAATGCAAACATCACAAAGAAGTTTCTGGGAATGCTGCTGTCTGCTTTTTATATGTAATCCCGTTTCCAACGAAATCCTCAAAGCTAGACAAATATCCACTTGCAGATTCCACCAAAAGAGGGTTTCAAAACTGCTCTCTCAAGAGAAAGGTTCAACTCTGTTAGCTGAGTAGATACATCATGAAAATGTTTCTGACATTGCTTCTATGTAGCTTTTATTGGAAGATATTTCCTTTTTCACCGTAGTCCTGAGAGCGCTCCAAATGTCCACTTCCAGATACTACAAAAAGAGTGTTTCAAACCTGTTCTATGAAAGGAACTGTTCAACACTGTGACTTCAATTGAAACATCCCAATGAAGCTTCTGAGAATGCTTCTGTCTAGAGTTTATATGAAGACAATCCCGTTTCCAACGAAATCCTCAAAGCTATCCAAATATCCTCTAGCAGATATTACAAAAAGAGTGTTTCAAAACTGCTCTATCAAAAGAAAGGTTCAACACTGTTAGTTGAGGGCGCACATCACAAATAAGTTTCTGAGAATGCTGCTGTCTGCTTTTTATATGTAATCCCGTTTCCAACAAAATCCTCAAAGCTAGACAAATATCCACTTGCAGATTCCACAAAAAGAGTGTTTCAAAACTGCTCTATCAAAAGAAAGCTTCAACACTGTTAGTTGAGGGCGCACATCACAAATAAGTTTCTGAGAATGCTTCTGTCTAGTTTTCAGGGGAAGATATGTCCTTTTAAACCATAGGCCTGAAAGCGCTCCAAATGTCCACATCCAGATACTACAAAAAGAGTGTTTCAAACCTGCTCTATGAAAGGGACTGTTCAACACTGTGACTTCAATTGAAACATCCCAATGACGCTTCTGAGAATGCTTCTGTCTAGAGTTTATATGAAGACAATCCCGTTTCCAACGAAATCCTCAAAGCTATCCAAATATCCTCTTGCAGATATTACAAAAAGAGTGTTTCAAAACTGCTCTATCAAAAGAAAGGTTCAACACTGTTAGTTGAGGGCGCACATCACAAATAAGTTTCTGAGAATGCTTCTGTCTAGTTTTCAGGGGAAGATATTTCCTTTTTCACCATAGGCCTGAAAGCGCTCCAAATGTCCACATCCAGATACTACAAAAAGAGTGTTTCAAACCTGCTCTATGAAAGGGAATGTTCAACTCTGTGACTTGAATGCAAACGTCACAAAGAAGTTTCTGGGAATGCTGCTGTCTGCTTTTTATATGTAATCCCGTTTCCAACGAAATCCTCAAAGCTAGACAAATATCCACTTGCAGATTCCACAAAAAGAGTGTTTCAAAACTGCTCTCTCAAAGGAAAGGTTCAACTCTGTTAGCTGAGTAGATACATCATGAAAAAGTTTCTGACATTGCTTCTATCTAGCTTTTATTGGAAGATATTTCCTTTATCACCGTATTCCTGAGATCTCTACAAATGTCCACTTCCAGATACTACAAAAAGAGTGTTTCAAACCTGCTCTATGAAAGGGACTGTTCAACACTGTGACTTCCATTGAAACATCCCAATGAAGCTTCTGTGAATGCTTCTTTCTAGAGTTTATATGAAGACAATCCCGTTTCCAACGAAATCCTCAAAGCTATCCAAATATTCTCTTGCAGATATTACAAAAAGAGTGTTTCAAAACTGCTCTATCAAAATAAAGCTTCAACACTGTTAGTTGAGGGCGCACATCACAAATAAGTTTCTGAGAATGCTGCTGTCTGCTTTTTATATGTAATCCCGTTTCCAAAGAAATCCTCAAAGCTAGACAAACATCCACTTGCAGATTCCACAAAAAGAGTGTTTCAAAACTGCTCTATCAAAAGAAAGCTTCAACACTGTTAGTTGAGGGCGCACATCACAAGTAAGTTTCTGAGAATGCTTCTGTCTAGTTTTCAGGGGAAGATATTTCCTTTTTCACCTTATGCCTGAAAGCGCTGCAAATGTCCACATCCAGATACTACAAAAAGAGTGTTTCAAACCTGCTCTATCAAAGGGACTGTTCAACACTGTGACTTCAATTGAAACATCCCAATGAAGCTTCTGAGAATGCTTCTGTCTAGAGTTTATATGAAGACAATCCCGTTTCCAACGAAATCCTCAAAGCTATCCAAATATCCTCTTGCAGATTTTACAAAAAGAGTGTTTCAAAACTGCTCTATCAAAAGAAAGCTTCAACACTGTTAGTTGAGGGCGCACATCACAAATAAGATTCTGAGAATGCTTCTGTCTAGTTTTCAGGGGAAGATATTTCCTTTTTCACCATAGGCCTGAAAGCGCTCCAAATGTCCACATGCAGATACTACAAAAAGAGTGTTTCAAACCTGCTCTATGAAAGGGAATGTTCAACTCTGTGACTTGAATGCAAACATCACAAAGAAGTTTCTGGGAATGCTGCTGTCTGCTTTTTATATGTAATCCCGTTTCCAACGAAATCCTCAAAGCTAGACAAATATCCACTTGCAGATTCAACAAAAAGAGTGTTTCAAAACTGCTCTCTCAAAGGAAAGGTTCAACTCTGTTAGCTGAGTAGATACATCATGAAAAAGTTTCTGACATTGCTTCTATCTAGCTTTTATTGGAAGATATTTCCTTTTTCACCGTAGTCCTGAGAGCGCTCCAAATGTCCACTTCCAGATAGTACAAAAAGAGTGTTTCAAACCTGCTCTATGAAAGGGACTGTTCAACACTGTGACTTCAATTGAAACATCCCAATGAAGCTTCTGAGAATGCTGCTGTCTGCTTTGTATAATTAATCCCGTTTCCAACGAAATCCTCAAAGCTATCCAAATATCCTCTTGCAGATATTACAAAAAGAGTGTTTCAAAACTGCTCTATCAAAAGAAAGCTTCAACACTGTTAGTTGAGGGCGCACATCACAAATAAGTTTCTGAGAATGCTGCTGTCTGCTTTTTATATGTAATCCCGTTTCCAACGAAATCCTCAAAGCTAGACAAATATACACTTGCAGATTCCACAAAAAGAGTGTTTCAAAACTGCTGTATCAAAAGAAAGCTTCAACACTGTTAGTTGAGGGCGCACATCACAAATAAGTTTCTGAGAATGCTTCTGTCTAGTTTTCAGGGGAAGATATTTCCTTTTTCACCATAGGCCTGAAAGCGCTCGAAATGTCCACATCCAGATACTACAAAAAGAGTGTTTCAAACCTGCTCTATGAAAGGGACTGTTCAACACTGTGACTTCAATTGAAACATCCCAATGAAGCTTCTGAGAATGCTTCTGTCTAGAGTTTATATGAAGATAATCCCGTTTCCAACGAAATCCTCAAAGCTATCCAAATATCCTCTTGCAGATTTTACAAAAAGAGTGTTTCAAAACTGCTCTATCAAAAGAAAGGTTCAACACTGTTAGTTGAGGGCGCACATCACAAATAAGTTTCTGAGAATGCTTCTGTCTAGTTTTCAGGGAAAGATATTTCCTTTTTCACCATAGGCCTGAAAGCGCTCCAAATGTCCACATCCAGATACTTCAAAAAGAGTGTTTCAAACCTGCTCTATGAAAGGGAATGTTCAACTCTGTGACTTGAATGCAAACATCACAAAGAAGTTACTGGGAATGCTGCTGTCTGCTTATTATATGTAATCCCGTTTCCAACGAAATCCTCAAAGCTAGACAAATATCCACTTCCAGATTCCACAAAAAGAGTGTTTCAAAACTGCTCTCTCAAAAGAAAGGTTCAACTCTGTTAGCTGAGTAGATACATCATGAAAAAGTTTCTGACATTGCTTCTATCTAGCTTTTATTGGAAGATATTTCCTTTTTCACCGTAGTCCTGAGAGCGCTCCAAATGTCCATTTCCAGATACTACAAAAAGAGTGTTTCAAACCTGCTCTATGAAATGGAATGTTCAACTCTGTGACATCAATTGAAACATCCCAATGAAGCTTCTGAGAATGCTTCTGTCTAGATTGTATATGAAGACAATCCCGTTTCCAACGAAATCCTCAAAGCTAACCAAATATCCTCTTGCAGATTTTACAAAAAGAGTGTTTCAAAACTGCTCTATCAAAAGAAAGGTTCAACACTGTTAGTTGAGGGTGCACATCACAAATAAGATTCTGAGAATGCTTCTGTCTAGTTTTCAGGGGAAGATATTTCCTTTTTCACCATAGACCTGAAAGCGCTCCAAATGTCCACATCCAGATACTACAAAAAGAGTGTTTCAAACCTGCTCTATGAAAGGGAATGTTCAACACTGTGACTTGAATGCAAACATCACAAAGAAGTTTCTGGCAATGCTGCTGTCTGCTTTTTATATGTAATCCCGTTTCCAACGAAATCCTCAAAGCTAGACAAATATCCACTTGCAGATTCCACAAAAAGAGTGTTTCAAAACTGCTCTCTCAAAAGAAAGGTTGAACTCTGTTAGCTGAGTAGATATATCATGAAAAAGTTTCTGACATTGCTTCTATCTAGCTTTTATTGGAAGATATTTCCTTTTTCACCGTAGTCCTGAGAGCGCTCTAAATGTCCACTTCCAGATACTACAAAAAGAGTGTTTCAAACCTGCTCTATGAAAGGGAATGTTCAACTGTGTGACTTGAATGCAAACATCACAAAGAAGTTTCTGGGAATGCTTCTGTCTAGTTTTCAGGGGAAGATATTTCCTTTTTCACCATAGGCCTGAAAGCGCTCCAAATGTCCACATCCAGATACTACAAAAAGAGTGTTTCAAACGTGCTCTATGAAAGGGAATGTTCAACTCTGTGACTTGAATGCAAACATCACAAAGAAGTTTCTGGGAATGCTGCTGTCTGCTTTTTATATGTAATCCCGTTTCCAACGAAATCCTCAAAGCTAGACAATTATCCACTTGCAGATTCCACAAAAAGAGTGTTTCAAAACTGCTCTATCAAAAGAATGCTTCAACACTGTTAGTTGAAGGCGCACATCACAAATAAGTTTCTGAGAATGCTTCTGTCTAGTTTTCAGGGGAAGATATTTCCTTTTTCACCATAGGCCTAAAAGCGCTCCAAATGTCCACATCCAGATACTACAAAAAGAGTGTTTCAAACCTGCTCTATGAAAGGGACTGTTCAACACTGTGACTTCAATTGAAACATCCCAATGAAGCTTCTGAGAATGCTACTGTCTAGAGTTTATATGAAGACAATCCCGTTTCCAACGAAATCCTCAAAGCTATCCAAATATCCTCTTGCAGATTTTACAAAAAGAGTGTTTCAAAACTGCTCTCTCAAAAGAAAGGTTCAACACTGTTAGTTGAGGGCGCACATCACAAATAAGTTTCTGAGAATGCTTCTGTCTAGTTTTCAGGAGAAGATATTTCCTTTTTCACCATAGGCCTGAAAGCGCTCCAAATGTCCACATCCAGATACTATAAAAAGAGTGTTTCAAACCTGCTCTGTGAAACGGAATGTTCAACTCTGTGACTTGAATGGAAACATCACAAACAAGATTCTGGGAATGCTGCTGTCTGCTTTTTATATGTAATCCCGTTTCCTACGAAATCGTCAAAGCTAGACAAATATCCACCTGCAGATCCAACAAAAAGACTGTTTCAAAACTGGTCTCTCAAAAAAAAGGTTCAACTCTGTTAGCTGAGTAGATACATCATGAAAAAGTTTCTGACATTGCTTCTATCTAGCTTTTATTGGAAGATATTTCCTTTTTCACCGTAGTCCTGAGAGCGCTCCAAATGTCCACTTCCAGATACTACAAAAAGAGTGTTTCAAACCTGCTCTATGAAACGGACTGTTCAACACTGTGACTTCAATTGAAACATCCCAATGAAGCTTCTGAGAATGCTTCTGTCTAGAGTTTATATGAAGACAATCCCGTTTCCAACGAAATCCTCAAAGCTATCCAAATATCCTCTTGCAGATATTACAAAAAGAGTGTTTCAAAACTGCTCTATCAAAAGAAAGGTTCAACACTGTTAGTTGAGGGCGCACATCACAAATAAGTTTACTGAGAATGCTGCTGTCTGCTTTTTATATGTAATCCCGTTTCCAACGAAATCCTCAAAGCTAGACAAATATCCACTTGCAGATTCCACAAAAAGAGTGTTTCAAAACTGCTCTATCAAAAGAAAGCTTCAACACTGTTAGTTGAGGGGGCACATCACAAATAAGTTTCTGAGAATGCTTCTGTCTAGTTTTCAGGGGAAGATATTTCCTTTTAAACCATAGGCCTGAAAGCGCTCCAAATGTCCACATCCAGATACTACAAAAAGAGTGTTTGAAACCTGCTCTATGAAAGGGACTGTTCAACACTGTAACTTCAGTTGAAACATCCCAATGAAGCTTCTGAGAATGCTTCTGTCTAGAGTTTATATGAAGACAATCCCGTTTCCAACGAAATCCTCAAAGCTATCTAAATATCCTCTTGCAGATTTTACAAAAAGAGTGTTTCAAAACTGCTCTATCAAAAGAAAGCTTCAACACTGTTAGTTGAGGGCGCACATCACAAATAAGATTCTGAGAATCCTTCTGTCTAGTTTTCAGGAGAAGATATTTCCTTTTTCAGCATAGGCCTGAAAGCGCTCCAAATGTCCACATCCAGATACTATAAAAAGAGTGTTTCAAACCTGCTCTCTGAAAGGGAATGTTCAACTCTGTGACTTGAATGCAAACATCACAAACAAGATTCTGGGAATGCTGCTGTCTGCTTTTTATATGTAATCCCGTTTCCAACGAAATCCTCAAAGCTAGACAAATATCCACCTGCAGATTCCACAAAAAGAGTGTTTCAAAACTGCTCTCTCAAAAGAAAGGTTCAATTCTGTTAGCTGAGTAGATACCTCATGAAAAATTTTCTGACATTGCTTCTATGTAGCTTTTATTGGAAGATATTTCCTTTTTCACCATAGTCCTGAGAGCGCTCCAAATGTCCACTTCCAGATACTACAAAAAGAGTGTTTCAAACCTGTTCTATGAAAGGAACTGTTCAACACTGTGACTTCAATTGAAACATCCCAATGAAGCTTCTGAGAATGCTTATGTCTAGAGTTTATATGAAGACAATCCCGTTTCCAACGAAATCCTGAAAGCTATCCAAATATCCTCTTGCAGATATTACAAAAAGAGTGTTTCAAAACTGCTCTATCAAAAGAAAGCTTCAACACTGTTAGTTGAGGGCGCCCATCACAAATAAGTTTCGGAGAATGCTTAGCTGTCTGCTTTTTATATGTAATCCCGTTTCCAACGAAATCCTCAAAGCTAGACAAATATCCACTTGCAGATTCCACAAAAAGAGTGTTTCAAAACTGCTCTATCAAAAGAATGCTTCAACACTGGTAGTTGAGGGCGCACATCACAAATAAGTTTCTGAGAATGCTTCTGTCTAGTTTTCAGGAGAAGATATTTCCTTTTTCACCGTATTCCTGAGATCTCTCCAAATGTCCACTTCCAGATACTACAAAAAGAGTGTTTCAAACCTGCTCTATGAAAGGGACTGTTCAACACTGTGACTTCAATTGAAACATCCCAATGAAGCTTCTGAGAATGCTTCTGTCTAGAGTTTATATGAAGACAATCCCGTTTCCAACGAAATCCTCAAAGCTATCCAAATATCCTCTTGCAGATATTACAAAAAGAGTGTTTCAAAACTGCTCTATCAAAAGAAAGCTTCAACACTGTTAGTTGAGGGCGCACATCACAAATAAGTTTCTGAGAATGCTTCTGTCTAGTTTGCAGGGGAAGATATTTCCTTTTTCACCATAGGCCTGAGAGCGCTCCAAATGTCCACATCCAGATACTACAAAAAGAGTGTTTCAAACCTGCTCTATGAAAGGGAATGTTCAACTCTGTGACTTGAATGCAAACATCACAAAGAAGTTTCTGGGAATGCTGCTGTCTGCTTTTTATATGTAATCCCGTTTCCAACGAAATCCTCAAATCTAGACAAATATCCACTTGCAGATTCCACAAAAAGAGTGTTTCAAAACTGCTCTCTCAAAAGAAAGGTTCAACTCTGTTAGCTGAGTAGATACATCATGAAAAAGTTTCTGACATTGCTTCTATCTAGCTTTTATTGGAAGATATTTCCTTTTTCACCGCAGTCCTGAGAGCGCTCCAAATGTCCACTTCCAGATACTACAAAAAGAGTGTTTCAAACCTGCTCTATGAAAGGGACTGTTCAACACTGTGACTTCAACTGAAACATCCCAATGAAGATTCTGAGAATGCTTCTTTCTAGAGTTTATATGAAGACAATCCCGTTTCCAACGAAATCCTCAAAGCTATCCAAATATTCTCTTGCAGATATTACAAAAAGAGTGTTTCAAAACTGCTCTATCAAAATAAAGCTTCAACACTGTTAGTTGAGGGCGCACATCACAAATAAGTTTCTGAGAATGCTGCTGTCTGCTTTTTATATGTAATCCCGTTTCCAACGAAATCCTCAAAGCTAGACAAATATCCACTTGCAGATTCCACAAAAAGAGTGTTTCAAAACTGCTCTATCAAAAGAATGCTTCAACACTGTTAGTTGAGGGGGCACATCACAAATAAGTTTCTGAGAATGCTTCTGTCTAGTTTTCAGGGGAAGATATTTCCTTTTAAACTATAGGCCTGCAAAAGCTCCAAATGTCCACATCCAGATACTACAAAAAGAGTGTTTCAAACCTGCTCTATGAAAGGGACTGTTCAACACTGTGACTTCAATTGAAACATCCCAATGAAGCTTCTGAGAATTCTTCTGTCTAGAGTTTATATGAAGACAATCCTGTTTCCAACGAAATCCTCAAAGCTATCCAAATATCCTCTTGCAGATATTACAAAAAGAGTGTTTCAAAACTGCTCTATCAAAAGAAAGGTTCAACACTGTTAGTTGAGGGCGCACATCACAAATAAGATTCTGAGAATGCTTCTGTCTAGTTTTCAGGAGAAGATATTTCCTTTTTCACCATAGGCCTGAAAGCGCTCCAAATGTCCCCATCCAGATACTATAAAAAGAGTGTTTCAAACCTGCTCTATGAAAGGGAATGTTCAACTCTGGGACTTGAATGCAAACATCACAAAGAAGATTCTGGGAATGCTGCTGTCTTCTTTTTATATGTAATCCCGTTTCCAACGAAATCCTCAAAGCTAGACAAATATCCACTTGCAGATTCCACAAAAAGAGTGTTTCAAAACTGCTCTATCAAAAGAAAGCTTCAACACTGTTAGTTGATTGCGCACATCACAAATAAGTTTCTGAGAATGCTTCTGTCTAGTTTTCAGGGGAAGATATTTCCTTTTTCACCATAGGCCTGAAAGCGCTCCAAATGTCCACATCCAGATACTACAAAAAGAGTGTTTCAAACCTGCTCTATGAAAGGGACTGTTCAACACTGTGACTTCAATTGAAACATCCCAATGAAGCTTCTGAGAATGCTTCTGTCTAGAGTTTATATGAAGACAATCCCGTTTCCAACGAAATCCTCAAAGCTATCCAAATATCCTCTTGCAGATATTACAAAAAGAGTGTTTCAAAACTGCTCTATCAAAAGAAAGCTTCAACACTGTTAGTTGAGGGCGCACATCACAAATAAGTTTCTGAGAATGCTTCTGTCTAGTTTTCAGGGGAAGATATTTCCTTTTTCACCTTAGGCCTGAAAGCGCTGCAAATGTCCACATCCAGATACTACAAAAAGAGTGTTTCAAACCTGCTCTATGAAAGGGAATGTTCAACTCTGTGACTTGAATGCAAACAACACAAAGAAGTTTCTGGGAATGCTGCTGTCTGCTTTTTATATGTAATCCCGTTTCCAACGAAATCCTCAAAGCTAGACAAATATCCACTTGCAGATTCCACAAAAAGAGTGTTTCAAAACTGCTCTCTCAAAAGAAAGTTTCAACTCTGTTAGCTGAGTAGATACACCATGAAAAAGTTTCTGACATTGCTTCTATCTAGCTTTTATTGTAAGATATTTCCTTTTTCACCGTAGTCCTGAGAGCGCTCCAAATGTCCACTTCCAGATACTACAAAAAGAGTGTTTCAAACCTGCTCTATGAAAGGGACTGTTCAACACTGTGACTTCAATTGAAACATCCCAATGAAGCTTCTGAGAATGCTGCTGTCTGCTTTGTATAATTAATCCCGTTTCCAACGAAATCCTCAAAGCTATCCAAATATCCTCTTGCAGATATTACAAAAAGAGTGTTTCAAAACTGCTCTATCAAAAGAAAGCTTCAACACTGTTAGTTGAGGGCGCACATCACAAATAAGTTTCTGAGAATGCTGCTGTCTGCTTTTTATATGTAATCCCTTTTCCAACGAAATCCTCAAAGCTAGACAAATATCCACTTGCAGATTCCACAAAAAGAGTGTTTCAAACTGCTCTATCAAAAGAATGCTTCAACACTGTTAGTTGAGGGCGCACATCACAAATAAGTTTCTGAGAATGCTTCTGTCTAGTTTTCAGGGGAAGATATTTCCTTTTAAACCATAGGCCTGAAAGCGCTCCAAATGTCCACATCCAGATACTACAAAAAGAGTGTTTGAAACCTGCTCTATGAAAGGGACTGTTCAACACTGTGACTTCAATTGAAACATCCCAATGAAGCTTCTGAGAATGCTTCTGTCTAGAGTTTATATGAAGACAATCCCGTTTCCAACGAAATCCTCAAAGCTATCCAAATATCCTCTTGCAGATATTACAAAAAGAGTGTTTCAAAACTGCTCTATCAAAAGAAAGGTTCAACACTGTTAGTTGAGGGCGCACATCACAAATAAGTTTCTGAGAATGCTTCTGTCTAGTTTTCAGGGGAAGATATTTCCTTTTTCACCTTAGGCCTGAAAGCGCTGCAAATGTCCACATCCAGATACTACAAAAACAGTGTTTCAAACCTGCTCTATGAAAGGGAATGTTCAACTCTGTGACTTGAATGCAAACTTCACAAAGAAGTTTACTGGGAATGCTGCTGTCTGCTTTTTATATGTAATCCCGTTTCCAACGAAATCCTCAAAGCTAGACAAATATCCACTTGCAGATTCCACAAAAAGAGTGTTTCAAAACTGCTCTCTCAAAAGAAAGGTTCAACTCTGTTAGCTGAGTAGATACATCATGAAAAAGTTTCTGACATTGCTTCTATGTAGCTTTTATTGGAAGATATTTCCTTTTTCACCGTAGTCCTGAGAGCGCTCCAAATGTCCACTTCGAGATACTACAAAAAGAGTGTTTCAAACCTGCTCTATGAAAGGAACTGTTCAACACTGTGACTTCAATTGAAACATCCCAATGAAGCTTCTGAGAATGCTTCTTTCTAGAGTTTATATGAAGACAATCCCGTTTCCAACGAAATCCTCAAAGCTATCCAAATATTCTCTTGCAGATATTACAAAAAGAGTGTTTCAAAACTGCTCTATCAAAATAAAGCTTCAACACTGTTAGTTGAGGGCGCACATCACAAATAAGTTTCTGAGAATGCTGCTGTCTGCTTTTTATATGTAATCCCGTTTCCAACGAAATCCTCAAAGCTAGACAAATATCCACTTGCAGATTCCACAAAAAGAGTGTTTCAAAACTGCTCTATCAAAAGAATGCTTCAACACTGTTAGTTGAAGGCGCACATCACAAATAAGTTTCTGAGAATGCTTCTGTCTAGTTTTCAGGGGAAGATATTTCCTTTTTCACCATAGGCCTGAAAGCGCTCCAAATGTCCACATCCAGATACTACAAAAAGAGTGTTTCAAACCTGCTCTATGAAAGGGACTGTTCAACACTGTGACTTCAATTGAAACATCCCAATGAAGCTTCTGAGAATGCTTCTGTCTAGAGTTTATATGAAGACAATCCCGTTTCCAACGAAATCCTCAAAGCTATCCAAATATCCTCTTGCAGATTTTACAAAAAGAGTGTTTCAAAACTGCTCTATCAAAAGAAAGGTTCAACACTGTTAGTTGAGGGCGCACATCACAAATAAGTTTCTGAGAATGCTTCTGTCTAGTTTTCAGGGGAAGATATTTCCTTTTTCACCATAGGCCTGAAAGCGCTCCAAATGTCCACATCCAGATACTACAAAAAGAGTGTTTCAAACCTGCTCTATGAAAGGGAATGTTCAACTCTGTGACTTGAATGCAAACGTCACAAAGAAGTTTCTGGGAATGCTGCTGTCTGCTTTTTATATGTAATCCCGTTTCCAACGAAATCCTCAAAGCTAGACAAATATCCACTTGCAGATTCCACAAAAAGAGTGTTTCAAAACTGCTCTCTCAAAAGAAAGGTTCAAGTATGTTAGCTGAGTAGATACATCATGAAAAAGTTTCTGACATTGCTTCTATCTTGCTTTTATTGGAAGATATTTCCTTTTTCACCGTAGTCCTGAGAGCGCTCCAAATGTCCACTTCCAGATAGTACAAAAAGAGTGTTTCAAACCTGCTCTATGAAAGGGACTGTTCAACACTGTGACTTCAATTGAAACATCCCAATGAAGCTTCTGAGAATGCTTCTGTATAGAGTTTATATGAAGACAATCCCGTTTCCAACGAAATCCTCAAAGCTATCCAAATATCCTCTTGCAGATTTTACAAAAAGAGTGTTTCAAAACTGCTCTATCAAAAGAAAGCTTCAACACTGTTAGTTGAGGGCGCACATCACAAATAAGATTCTGAGAATCCTTCTGTCTAGTTTTCAGGGGAAGATATTTCCTTTTTCACCATAGGCCTGAAAGCGCTCCAAATTTCCACATCCAGATTCTACAAAAAGAGTGTTTCAAAGCTCCTCTAAGAAAGGGAATGTTCAACTCTGTGACTTGAATGCAAACATCTCAAAGAAATTTCTGGGAATGCGGCTGTCTGCTTTTTATATGTAATCCCGTTTCCAACGAAATCCTCAAAGCTAGACAAATATCCACTTGCAGATTCCACAAAAAGAGTGTTTCAAAACTGCTCTCTCAAAGGAAGGTTCAACTCTGTTAGCTGAGTAGATACATCATGAAAAAGTTTCTGACATTGCTTCTATCTAGCTTTTATTGGAAGATATTTCCTTTTTCACCATAGTCCTGAGAACGCTCCAAATGTCCACTTCCAGATATTACAAAAAGAGTGTTTCAAACCTGCTCTACGAAAGGGACTGTTCAACACTGTGACTTCAATTGAAACATCCCAATGAAGCTTCTGAGAATGCTGCTGTCTGCTTTGTATAATTAATCCCGTTTCCAACGAAATCCTCAAAGCTATCCAAATATCCTCTTGCAGATATTACAAAAAGAGTGTTTCAAAACTGCTCTATCAAAAGAAAGCTTCAACACTGTTAGTTGAGGGCGCACATCACAAATAAGTTTCTGAGAATGCTGCTGTCTGCTTTTTATATGTAATCCCGTTTCCAACGAAATCCTCAAAGCTAGACAAATATCCACTTGCAGATTCCACAAAAAGAGTGTTTCAAAACTGCTCTATCAAAAGAAAGCTTCAACACTGTTAGTTGAGGGCGCACATCACAAATAAGTTTCTGAGAATGCTTCTGTCTAGTTTTCAGGGGAAGATATTTCCTTTTTTACCATAGGCCTGAAAGCGCTCCAAATGTCCACATCCAGATACTACAAAAAGAGTGTTTCAAACCTGCTCTATGAATGGGACTGTTCAACACTGTGACTTCAATTGAAACATCCCAATGAAGCATCTGAGAATGCTTCTGTCTAGAGTTTATATGAAGACAATCCCGTTTCCAAAGAAATCCTCAAAGCTATCCAAATCTCCTCTTGCAGATTTTACAACAAGAGTGTTTCAAAACTGCTCTATCAAAAGAAAGCTTCAACACTGTTAGTTGAGGGCGCACATAACAAATAACATTCTGAGAATGCTTCTGTCTAGTTTTCAGGGGAAGATATTTCCTTTTTCACCATAGGCCTGAAAGCGCTCCAAATGTCCACATACAGATAGTACAAAAAGAGTGTTTCAAACCTGCTCTATGAAAGGGAATGTTCAACTCTGTGACTTGAATGCAAACATCACAAAGAAGATTCTGGGAATGCTGCTGTCTGCTTTTTATATGTAATCCCGTTTCCAACGAAATCCTCAAAGCTAGACAAATATCCACTTCCAGATTCCACAAAAAGAGTGTTTCAAAACTGCTCTCTCAAAAGAAAGGTTCAACTCTGTTAGCTGAGTAGATACATCATGAAAAAGTTTCTGACATTGCTTCTATCTAGCTTTTATTGGAAGATATTACCTTTATCACCGTATTCCTGAGATCTCTCCAAATGTCCACTTCCAGATACTACAAAAAGAGTGTTTCAAACCTGCTCTATGAAAGGGACTGTTCAACACTGTGACTTCAATTGAAACATCCCAATGAAGCTTCTGAGAATGCTTCTGTCTAGAGTTTATATGAAGACAATCCCGTTTCCAACGAAATCCTCAAAGCTATCCAAATATCCTCTTGCAGATATTACAAAAAGAGTGTTTCAAAACTGCTCTATCAAAAGAAAGGTTCAACACTGTTAGTTGAGGGCGCACATCACAAATAAGTTTACTGAGAATGCTGCTGTCTGCTTTTTATATGTAATCCCGTTTCCAACGAAATCCTCAAAGCTATCCAAATATCCTCTTGCAGATATTACAAAAAGAGTGTTTCAAAACTGCTCTATCAAAAGAAAGGTTCAACACTGTTAGTTGAGGGCGCACATCACAAATAAGTTTCTGAGAATGCTTCTGTCTAGTTTTCAGGGGAAGATATTTCCTTTTTCACCATAGGCCTGAAAGCGCTCGAAATGTCCACATCCAGATACTACAAAAAGAGTGTTTCAAACCTGCTCTATGAAAGGGACTGTTCAACACTGTGACTTCAATTGAAACATCCCAATGAAGCTTCTGAGAATGCTTCTGTCTAGAGTTTATATGAAGACAATCCCGTTTCCAACGAAATCCTCAAAGCTATCCAAATATCCTCTTGCAGATTTTACAAAAAGAGTGTTTCAAAACTGCTCTATCAAAAGAAAGCTTCAACACTGTTAGTTGAGGGCGCACATCACAAATAAGATTCTGAGAATTCTTCTGTCTAGTTTTCAGGGGAAGATATTTCCTTTTTCACCATAGGCCTGAAAGCGCTCCAAATGTCCACATCCAGATACTACAAAAAGAGTGTTTCAAACCTTCTCTATGAAAGGGAATGTTCAACTCTGTGACTTGAATGCAACCGTCACAAAGAAGTTTCTGGGAATGCTGCGGCCTGCTTTTTATATGTAATCCCGTTTCCAACGAAATCCTCAAAGCTAGACAAATATCCACTTGCAGATTCCACAAAAAGAGTGTTTCCAAACTGCTCTTCCACAACGATGGTTCAATTCTGTTAGTTGAGTACACACATCACAAATAAGTTTCTGAGAATGCTTCTGTCTAGTTTTCAGGGGAAGATATTTCCTTTTAAACCATAGGCCTGAAAGCGCTCCAAATGTCCACATCCAGATACTACAAAAAGAGTGTTTCAAACCTGCTCTATGAAAGGGACTGTTCAACACTGTAACTTCAATTGAAACATCCCAATGAAGCTTCTGAGAATGCTTCTGTCTAGAGTTTATATGAAGACAATCCCGTTTCCAACGAAATCCTCAAAGCTATCCAAATATCCTCTTGCAGATTTTACAAAAAGAGTGTTTCAAAACTGCTCTATCAAAAGAAAGCTTCAACACTGTTAGTTGAGGGCGCACATCACAAATAAGATTCTGAGAATGCTTCTGTCTAGTTTTCAGGGGAAGATATTTCCTTTTTCACCATAGGCCTGAAAGCGCTCCAAATGTCCACATCCAGATACTACAAAAAGAGTGTTTCAAACCTGCTCTATGAAAGGGAATGTTCAACTGTGTGACTTGAATGCAAACATCACAAAGAAGTTTCTGGGAATGCTGCTGTCTGCTTTTTATATGTAATCCCGTTTCCAACGAAATCCTCAAAGCTAGACAAATATCCACTTGCAGATTCCACAAAAAGAGTGTTTCAAAACTGCTCTCTCAAAAGAAAGGTTCAACTCTGTTAGCTGAGTAGATACATCATGAAAAAGTTTCTGACATTGCTTCTATCTAGCTTTTATTGGAAGATATTTCCTTTGTCACCGTATTCCTGAGATCTCTCCAAATGTCCACTTCCAGATCCTACGAAAAAGGGTGTTTCAAACCTACTCTATGAAAGGGACTGTTCAACACTGTGACTTCAATTGAAACATCCCAATGAAGCTTCTGAGAATGCTGCTGTCTGCTTTGTATAATTAATCCCGTTTCCAACGAAATCCTCAAAGCTATCCAAATATCCTCTTGCAGATATTACAAAAAGAGTGTTTCAAAACTGCTCTATCAAAAGAAAGCTTCAACACTGTTAGTTGAGGGCGCACATCACAAATAAGTTTCTGAGAATGCTGCTGTCTGCTTTTTATATGTAATCCCGTTTCCAACGAAATCCGCAAAGCTAGACAAATATCCACTTGCAGATTCCACAAAAAGAGTGTTTCAATACTGCTCTATCAAAAGAAAGCTTCAACACTGTTAGTTGAGGGGGCACATCAGAAATAAGTTTCTGAGAATGCTTCTATCTAGCTTTTATTGGAAGATATTTCCTTTTTCACCGCAGTCCTGAGAGTGCTCCAAATGTCCACTTCCAGACACTACAAAAAGAGTGTTTCAAACCTGCTCTATGAAAGGGACTGTTCAACACTGTGACTTCAGTTGAAACATCCCAATGAAGCTTCTGAGAATGCTTCTGTCTAGAGTTTATATGAAGACAATCCCGTTTCCAACGAAATCCTCAAAGCTATCCAAATATCCTCTTGCAGATTTTACAAAAAGAGTGTTTCAAAACTGCTCTATCAAAAGAAAGCTTCAACACTGTTAGTTGAGGGCGCACATCACAAATAAGATTCTGAGAATGCTTCTGTCTAGTTTTCAGGGGAAGATATTTCCTTTTTCACCATAGGCCTGAAAGCGCTCCGAATGTCCACATCCAGATAATACAAAAAGAGTGTTTCAAACCTGCTCTATGAAAGGGAATGTTCAACTCTGTGACTTGAATGCAAACATCACAAAGAAGTTTCTGGGAATGCTGCTGTCTGATTTTATATGTAATCCCGTTTCCAACGAAATCCTCAAAGGTAGACACATATCCACTTGCAGTTTCCACAAAAATAGTGTTTCAAAACTGCTCTCTCAAAAGAAAGGTTCGACTCTTTTAGCTGAGTAGATACATCATGAAAAAGTTTCTGACATTGCTTCTATCTAGCTTTTATTGGAAGATATTTCCTTTTTCACCATAGTCCTGAGAACGCTCCAAATGTCCACTTCCAGATGCTACAAAAACAGTGTTTCAAACCTGCTCTATGAAAGGGACTGTTCAACACTGTGACTTAAATTGAAACATCCCAATGAAGCTTCTGAGAATGCTTCTGTCTAGAGTTTATATGAAGACAATCCCGTTTCCAACGAAATCCTCAAAGCTATCCAAATATCCTCTTGCAGATATTACAAAAAGAGTGTTTCAAAACTGCTCTATCAAAAGAAAGGTTCAACACTGTTAGTTGAGGGCGCACATCACAAATAAGTTTACTGAGAATGCTGCTGTCTGCTTTTTATATGTAATCCCGTTTCCAACGAAATCCTCAAAGCTAGACAAATATCCACTTGCAGATTCCACAAAAAGAGTTTTTCAAAACTGCTCTATCAAAAGAAAGCTTCAACACTGTTAGTTGAGGGCGCACATCACAAATAAGTTTCTGAGAATGCTTCTGTCTAGTTTTCAGGGGAAGATATTTCCTTTTTCACCATAGGCCTGAAAGCGCTCCAAATGTCCACATCCAGATACTACAAAAAGAGTGTTTCAAACCTGCTCTATGAAAGGGACTGTTCAACACTGTGACTTCAATTGAAACATCCCAATGAAGCTTCTGAGAATGCTTCTGTCTAGAGTTTATATGAAGACAATCCCGTTTCCAACGAAATCCTCAAAGCTATCCAAATATCCTCTTGCAGATATTACAAAAAGAGTGTTTCAAAACTGCTCTATCAAAAGAAAGCTTCAACACTGTTAGTTGAGGGCGCACATCACAAATAAGTTTCTGAGAATGCTTCTGTCTAGTTTTCAGGGGAAGATATTTCCTTTTTCACCATAGGCCTGAAAGCGCTCCAAATGTCCACATCCAGATACTACAAAAAGAGTGTTTCAAACCTGCTCTATGAAAGGGAATGTTCAACTCTGTGACTTGAATGCAAACATCACAAAGAAGTTTTTGGGAATGCTGCTGTCTGCTTTTTATATGTAATCCCGTTTCCAACGAAATCCTCAAAGCTCGACAAATATCCACTTGCAGATTCCACAAAAAGAGTGTTTCAAAACTGCTCTCTCAAAGGAAAGGTTCAACTCTGTTAGCTGAGTAGATACATCATGAAAAAGTTTCTGACATTGCTTCTATCTAGCTTTTATTGGAAGATATTTCCTTTTTCACCGTAGTCCTGAGAGCGCTCCAAATGTCCACTTCCAGATGCTACAAAAAGAGTGTTTCAAACCTGCTCTATGAAAGGGACTGTTCAACACTGTGACTTCAATTGAAACATCCCAATGAAGCTTCTGAGAATGCTTCTGTCTAGAGTTTATATGAAGACAATCCCGTTTCCAACGAAATCCTCAAAGCTATCCAAATATCCTCTTGCAGATATTACAAAAAGAGTGTTTCAAAACTGCTCTATCAAAAGAAAGGTTCAACACTGTTAGTTGAGGGCGCACATCACAAATAAGTTTACTGAGAATGCTGCTGTCTGCTTTTTATATGTAATCCCGTTTCCAACGAAATCCTCAAAGCTAGACAAATATCCACTTGCAGATTCCACAAAAAGAGTGTTTCAAAACTGCTCTATCAAAAGAATGCTTCAACACTGTTAGTTGAAGGCGCACATCACAAATAAGTTTCTGAGAATGCTTCTGTCTAGTTTTCAGGGGAAGATATTTCCTTTTTCACCTTATGCCTGAAAGCGCTGCAAATGTCCACATCCAGATACTACAAAAAGAGTGTTTCAAACCTGCTCTATCAAAGGGACTGTTCAACACTGTGACTTCAATTGAAACATCCCAATGAAGCTTCTGAGAATGCTTCTGTCTAGAGTTTATATGAAGACAATCCCGTTTCCAACGAAATCCTCAAAGCTATCCAAATATCCTCTTGCAGATATTACAAAAAGAGTGTTTCAAAACTGCTCTATCAAAAGAAAGGTTCAACACTGTTAGTTGAGGGCGCACATCACAAATAAGTTTCTGAGAATGCTACTGTCTAGTTTTCAGGGGAAGATATTTCCTTTTTCACCATAGGCCTGAAAGCGCTCCAAATGTCCACATCCAGATACTACAAAAAGAGTGTTTCAAACCCGCTCTATGGAAGGGAATGTTCAAGTCTGTGACTTGAATGCAAATATCACAAAGAAGTTTGCTGGGAATGCTGCTGTCTGCTTTTTATATGTAATCCCGTTTCCAACGAAATCCTCAAACCTAGACAAATATCCACTTGCAGATTCCACAAAAAGAGTGTTTCAAAACTGCTCTCTCAAAAGAAAGGTTAAATTCTGTTAGCTGAGTAGATACATCATCAAAAATTTTCTGACATTTCTTCTATCTAGCTTTATTTGGAAGATATTTCCTTTTTCACCGTAGTCCTGAAAACGCTCCAAATGTCAACTTCCAGATACTACAAAAAGAGTGTTTCAAACATGCTCTATGAAAGGGACTGTTCAACACTGTGACTTCAATTGAAACATCCCAATGAAGCTTCTGAGAATGCTTATGTCTAGAGTTTATATGAAGACAATCCCGTTTCCAACGAAATCCTGAAAGCTATCCAAATATCCTCTTGCAGATATTACAAAAAGAGTGTTTCAAAACTGCTCTATCAAAAGAAAGCTTCAACACTGTTAGTTGAGGGCGCCCATCACAAATAAGTTTCGGAGAATGCTTAGCTGTCTGCTTTTTATATGTAATCCCGTTTCCAACGAAATCCTCAAAGCTATCCAAATATCCTCTTGCAGATATTACAAAAAGAGTGTTTCAAAACTGCTCTATCAAAAGAAAGGTTCAACACTGTTAGTTGAGGGCGCACATCACAAATAAGTTTCTGAGAATGCTTCTGTCTAGTTTTCAGGGGAAGATATTTCCTTTTTCACCATAGGCCTGAAAGCGCTCCAAATGTCCACATCCAGATACTACAAAAAGAGTGTTTCAAACCTGCTCTATGAAAGGGACTGTTCAACACTGTGACTTCAATTGAAACATCCCAATGAAGCTTCTGAGAATGCTTCTGTCTAGAGTTTATATGAAGACAATCCCGTTTCCAACGAAATCCTCAAAGCTATCCAAATATCCTCTTGCAGATATTACAAAAAGAGTGTTTCAAAACTGCTCTATCAAAAGAAAGGTTCAACACTGTTAGTTGAGGGCGCACATCACAAATAAGTTTCTGAGAATGCTTCTGTCTAGTTTTCAGGGGAAGATATTTCCTTTTTCACCATAGGCCTGAAAGCGCTCCAAATATCCACATCCAGATACTTCAAAAAGAGTGTTTCAAACCTGCTCTATGAAAGGGAATGTTCAACTCTGTGACTTGAATGCAAACATCACAAAGAAGTTTCTGGGAATGCTGCTGTCTGCTTTTTATATGTAATCCCGTTTCCAACGAAATCCTCAAAGCTAGACAAATATCCACTTGCAGATTCCACAAAAAGAGTGTTTCAAAACTGCTCTCTCAAAAGAAAGGTTCAACTCTGTTAGCTGAGTAGGTACATCATGAAAAAGTTTCTGACATTGCTTCTATCTAGCTTTTATTGGAAGATATTTCCTTTTTCACCGCAGTCCTGAGAGCGTTCCAAATGTCCACTTCCAGATACTACAAAAAGAGTGTTTCAAACCTGCTCTATGAAAGGGACTGTTCAACACTGTGACTTCAATTGAAACATCCCAATGAAGCTTCTGAGAATGCTTATGTCTAGAGTTTATATGAAGACAATCCCGTTTCCAACGAAATCCTGAAAGCTATCCAAATATCCTCTTGCAGATATTACAAAAAGAGTGTTTCAAAACTGCTCTATCAAAAGAAAGCTTCAACACTGTTAGTTGAGGGCGCCCATCACAAATAAGTTTCGGAGAATGCTTAGCTGTCTGCTTTTTATATGTAATCCCGTTTCCAACGAAATCCTCAAAGCTAGTACAAATATCCACTTGCAGATTCCACAAAAAGAGTGTTTCAAAACTGCTCTATCAAAAGAATGCTTCAACACTGTTAGTTGAGGGCGCACATCACAAATAAGTTTCTGAGAATGCTTCTGTCTAGTTTTCAGGGGAAGATATTTCCTTTTTCACCATAGGCCTGAAAGCGCTCCAAATGTCCACATCCAGATACTACAAAAAGAGTGTTTCAAACCTGCTCTATGAAAGGGACTGTTCAACACTGTGACTTCAATTGAAACATCCCAATGAAGCTTCTGAGAATGCTTCTGCCTAGAGTTTATATGAAGACAATCCCGTTTCCAACGAAATCCTCAAAGCTATCCAAATATCCTCTTGCAGATATTACAAAAAGAGTGTTTCAAAACTGCTCTATCAAAAGAAAGCTTCAACACTGTTAGTTGAGGGCGCACATCACAAATAAGTTTCTGAGAATGCTTCTGTCTAGTTTTCAGGGGAAGATATTTCCTTTTTCACCTTAGGCCTGAAAGCGCTGCAAATGTCCACATCCAGATACTACAAAAAGAGTGTTTCAAACCTGCTCTATGAAAGGGAGTGTTCAACTCTGTGACTTGAATGCAAACATCACAAAAGAAGTTTCTGGGAATGCTGCTGTCTGCTTTTTATATGTAATCCCGTTTCCAACGAAATCCTCAATGCTAGACAAATATCCACTTGCAGATTCCACAAAAAGAGTGTTTCAAAACTGCTCTCTCAAAAGAAAGGTTCAACTCTGTTAGCTGAGTAGATACATCATGAAAAAGTTTCTGACATTGCTTCTATCTAGCTTTTATTGGAAGATATTTCCTTTATCACCGTATTCCTGAGATCTCTCCAAATGTCCAATTCCAGATACTACAAAAAGAGTGTTTCAAACCTGCTCTATGAAAGGTACTGTTCAACACTGTGACTTCAATTGAAACATCCCAATGAAGCTTCTGAGAATGCTGCTGTCTGCTTTGTATAATTAATCCCGTTTCCAACGAAATCCTCAAAGCTATCCAAATATCCTCTTGCAGATATTACAAAAAGAGTGTTTCAAAACTGCTCTATCAAAAGAAAGCTTCAACACTGTTAGTTGAGGGCGCACATCACAAATAAGTTTCTGAGAATGCTGCTGTCTGCTTTTTATATGTAATCCCGTTTCCAACGAAATCCTCAAAGCTAGACAAATATCCACTTGCAGATTCCACAAAAAGAGTGTTTCAAAACTGCTCTATCAAAAGAAAGCTTCAACACTGTTAGTTGAGGGCGCACATCACAAATAAGTTTCTGAGAATGCTTCTGTCTAGTTTTCAGGGGAAGATATTTCCTTTTTCACCATAGGCCTGAAAGCGCTCCAAATGTCCACATCCAGATACTACAAAAAGAGTGTTTCAAACCTGCTCTATGAAAGGGACTGTTCAACACTGTGACTTCAATTGAAACATCCCAATGAAGCTTCTGAGAATGCTTTCTGCCTAGAGTTTATATGAAGACAATCCCGTTTCCAACGAAATCCTCAAAGCTATCCAAATATCCTCTTGCAGATATTACAAAAAGAGTGTTTCAAAACTGCTCTATCAAAAGAAAGCTTCAACACTGTTAGTTGAGGGCGCACATCACAAATAAGTTTCTGAGAATGCTTCTGTCTAGTTTTCAGGGGAAGATATTTCCTTTTTCACCTTAGGCCTGAAAGCGCTGCAAATGTCCACATCCAGATACTACAAAAAGAGTGTTTCAAACCTGCTCTATGAAAGGGAATGTTCAACTCTGTGACTTGAATGCAAACAACACAAAGAAGTTTCTGGGAATGCTGCTGTCTGCTTTTTATATGTAATCCCGTTTCCAACGAAATCCTCAAAGCTAGACAAATATCCACTTGCAGATTCCACAAAAAGAGTGTTTCAAAACTGCTCTCTCAAAAGAAAGGTTCAACTCTGTTAGCTGAGTAGATACATCATGAAAAAGTTTCTGACATTGCTTCTATGTAGCGTTTATTGGAAGATATTTCCTTTATCACCGTATTCCTGAGATCTCTCCAAATGTCCACTTCCAGATACTACAAAAAGAGTGTTTCAAACCTGCTCTATGAAAGGGACTGTTCAACACTGTGACTTCAATTGAAACATCCCAATGAAGCTTCTGAGAATGCTTATGTCTAGAGTTTATATGAAGACAATCCCGTTTCCAACGAAATCCTGAAAGCTATCCAAATATCCTCTTGCAGATATTACAAAAAGAGTGTTTCAAAACTGCTCTATCAAAAGAAAGCTTCAACACTGTTAGTTGAGGGCGCCCATCACAAATAAGTTTCGGAGAATGCTTAGCTGTCTGCTTTTTATATGTAATCCCGTTTCCAACGAAATCCTCAAAGCTAGACAAATATCCACTTGCAGATTCCACAAAAAGAGTGTTTCAAAACTGCTCTCTCAAAAGAAAGGTTCAACACTGTTAGTTGAGGGCGCACATCACAAATAAGTTTCTGAGAATGCTTCTGTCTAGTTTTCAGGGGAAGATATTTCCTTTTTCACCGTAGTCCTGAGAGCGCTCCAAATGTCCACTTCCAGATACTACAAAAAGAGTGTTTCAAACCTGCTCTATGAAAGGGACTGTTCAACACTGTGACTTCAATTGAAACATCCCAATGAAGCTTCTGAGAATGCTTCTGCCTAGAGTTTATATGAAGACAATCCCGTTTCCAACGAAATCCTCAAAGCTATCCAAATATCCTCTTGCAGATATTACAAAAAGAGTGTTTCAAAACTGCTCTATCAAAAGAAAGCTTCAACACTGTTAGTTGAGGGCGCACATCACAAATAAGTTTCTGAGAATGCTTCTGTCTAGTTTTCAGGGGAAGAGATTTCCTTTTTCACCATAGGCCTCAAAGCGCTCAAAATGTCCACATCCAGATACTACAAAAAGAGTGTTTCAAACCTGCTCTATGAAAGGGAATGTTCAAATCTGTGACTTGAATGCAAACAACACAAAGAAGTTTCGGGGAATGCTGCTGTCTGCCTTTTATATTTAATCCCGTTTCCAACGAAATCCTCAAAGCTAGACAAATATCCACTTCCAGATTCCACAAAAAGAGTGTTTCAAAACTGCTCTCTCAAAAGAAAGTTTCAACTCTGTTAGCTGAGTAGATACATCATGAAAAAGTTTCTGACATTGCTTCTATGTAGCTTTTATTGGAAGATATTTCCTTTTTCACCGTAGTCCTGAGAGCGCTCCAAATGTCCACTTCCAGATACTACAAAAAGAGTGTTTCAAACCTGCTCTATGAAAGGGACTGTTCAACACTGTGACTTCAATTGAAACATCCCAATGAAGCTTCTGAGAATGCTTCTGTCTAGAGTTTATATGAAGACAATCCCGTTTCCAACGAAATCCTTAAAGCTATCCAAATATCCTCTTGCAGATATTACAAAAAGAGTGTTTCAAAACTGCTCTATCAAAAGCAAGGTTCAACACTGTTAGTTGAGGGCGCACATCACAAATAAGTTTCTGAGAATGCTTCTGTCTAGTTTTCAGGGGAAGATATTTCCTTTTTCACCATAGGCCTGAAAGCGCTCCAAATGTCCACATCCAGATACTACAAAAAGAGTGTTTCAAACCTGCTCTATGAAAGGGAATGTTCAACTCTCTGACTTGAATGCAAACATCACAAAGAAGTTACTGGGAATGCTGCTGTCTGCTTTTTATATGTAATCCCGTTTCCAACGAAATCCTCAAAGCTAGACAAATATCCACTTGCAGATTCCACAAAAACAGTGTTTCAAAACTGCTCTCTCAAAGGAAAGGTTCAACTCTGTTAGCTGAGTAGATACATCATGAAAAAGTTTCTGACATTGCTTCTATCTAGCTTTTATTGGAAGATAATTCCTTTTTCACCGCAGTCCTGAGAGCGCTCCAATTGTCCACTTCCAGATACTACAAAAAGAGTGTTTCAAACCTGCTCTATGAAAGGGACTGTTCAACACTGTGACTTCAATTGAAACATCCCAATGAAGCTTCTGAGAATGCTCTGTCTAGTTTTCAGGGGAAGATATTTCCTTTTTCACCATAGGCCTGAAAGCGCTCCAAATGTCCACATCCAGATACTACAAAAAGAGTGTTTCAAACCTGCTCTCTGAAAGGGAATGTTCAACTCTGTGACTTGAATGCAAACATCACAAACAAGATTCTGGGAATGCTGGCTGTCTGCTTTTTATATGTAATCCCGTTTCCAACGAAATCCTCAAAGCTAGACAAATATCCACTTGCAGATTCCACAAAAAGAGTGTTTCAAAACTGCTCTCTCAAAAGAAAGGTTCAATTCTGTTAGCTGAGTAGATACATCATGAAAAAGTTTCTGACATTGCTTCTATCTAGCTTTTATTGGAAGATATTTCCTTTATCACCGTATTCCTGAGATCTCTCCAAATGTCCACTTCCAGATCCTACAAAAAGAGTGTTTCAAACCTGCTCTATGAAAGGGACTGTTCAACACTGTGACTTCAATTGAAACATCCCAATGAAGCTTCTGAGAATGCTTCTTTCTAG
This sequence comes from Homo sapiens, assembly GCF_000001405.40. Classification (NCBI taxonomy): domain Eukaryota; kingdom Metazoa; phylum Chordata; class Mammalia; order Primates; family Hominidae; genus Homo; species Homo sapiens. Next base: position 93,376,884 of record NC_000002.12, on the reverse strand, counting down.
AGTTTATATGAAGACAATCCCGTTTCCAACGAAATCCTCAAAGCTATCCAAATATTCTCTTGCAGATATTACAAAAAGAGTGTTTCAAAACTGCTCTATCAAAATAAAGCTTCAACACTGTTAGTTGAGGGCGCACATCACAAATAAGTTTCTGAGAATGCTGCTGTCTGCTTTTTATATGTAATCCCGTTTCCATCGAAATCCTCAAAGCTAGACAAATATCCACTTGCAGATTCCACAAAAAGAGTGTTTCAAAACTGCTCTATCAAAAGAAAGCTTCAACACTGTTAGTTGAGGGCGCACATCACAAATAAGTTTCTGAGAATGCTTCTGTCTAGTTTTCAGGGGAAGATATTTCCTTTTAAACCACAGGCCTGAAAGCGCTCCAAATGTCCACATCCAGATACTACAAAAAGAGTGTTTCAAACCTGCTCTATGAAAGGGACTGTTCAACACTGTAACTTCAATTGAAACATCTAATGAAGCTTCTGAGAATGCTTCTGTCTAGAGTTTATATGAAGAGAATCCCGTTTCCAACGAAATCCTCAAAGCTATCCAAATATCTTCTTGCAGATTTTACAAAAAGAGTGTTTCAAAACTGCTCTATCAAAAGAAAGGTTCAACACTGTTAGTTGAGGGCGCACATCACAAATAAGTTTCTGAGAATGCTTCTATGTAGCTTTTATTGGAAGATATTTCCTTTTTCACCATAGGCCTGAAAGCGCTCCAAATGTCCACATCCAGATACTACAAAAAAAGTGTTTCAAACCTGCTCTATGAAAGGGAATGTTCAACTCTGTGACTTGAATGCAAACATCACAAAGATGTTACTGGGAATGCTGCTGTCTGCTTTTTATATGTAATCCCGTTTCCAACGAAATCCTCAAAGCTAGACAAATATCCACTTGCAGATTCCACAAAAAGAGTGTTTCAAAACTGATCTCTCAAAAGAAAGGTTCAACTCTGTTAGCTGAGTAGATACATCATGAAAATGTTTCTGACATTGCTTCTATGTAGCTTTTATTGGAAGATATTTCCTTTTTCACCATAGTCCTGAGAGCGCTCCAAATGTCCACTTCCAGATACTACAAAAAGAGTGTTTCAAACCTGTTCTATGAAAGGAACTGTTCAGCACTGTGACTTCAATTGAAACATCCCAATGAAGCTTCTGAGAATGCTTCTGTCTAGAGTTTATATGAAGACAATCCCGTTTCCAACGAAATCCTCAAAGCTATCCAAATATCCTCTTGCAGATATTACAAAAAGAGTGTTTCAAAACTGCTCTATCAAAAGAAAGGTTCAACACTGTTAGTTGAGGGCGCACATCACAAATAAGTTTACTGAGAATGCTGCTGTCTGCTTTTTATATGTAATCCCGTTTCCAACGAAATCCTCAAAGCTAGACAAATATCCACTTGCAGATTCCACAAAAAGAGTGTTTCAAAACTGCTCTGTCAAAAGAATGCTTCAACACTGTTAGTTGAAGGCGCACATCACAAATAAGTTTCTGAGAATGCTTCTGTCTAGTTTTCAGAGGAAGATATTTCCTTTTTCACCATAGGCCTGAAAGCGCTCCAAATGTCCACATCCAGATACTACAAAAAGAGTGTTTCAAACCTGCTCTATGGAAGGGACTGTTCAACACTGTGACTTCAATTGAAACATCCCAATGAAGATTCTGAGAATGCTTCTGTCTAGATTCTATATGAAGACAATCCCGTTTCCAACGAAATCCTCAAAGCTATCCAAATATCCTCTTGCAGATTTTACAAAAAGAGTGTTTCAAAACTGCTCTATCAAAAGAAAGGTTCAACACTGTTAGTTGAGGGCGCACATCACAAATAAGTTTCTGAGAATGCTTCTGTATAGTTTTCAGGGGAAGATATTTCCTTTTTCACCATAGGCCTGAAAGCGCTCCAAATGTCCACATCCAGATACTACAAAAAGAGTGTTTCAAACCTGCTCTATGAAAGGGAATATTCAACTCTGTGACTTCAATGCAAATTTCACAAAGAAGTTTCTGGGAATGCTGCTGTCTGTTTTTATATGTAATCCCGTTTCCAACGAAATCCTCAAACCTAGACAAATATCCACTTGCAGATTCCACAGAAATAGTGTTTCAAAACTGCTCTCACAAAAGAAAGTTTCAACTCTTTTAGCTGAGTAGATACATCATGAAAAAGTTTCTGACATTGCTTCTATCTAGCTTTTATTGGAAGATATTTCCTTTTTCACCGCAGTCCTGAGAGCGTTCCAAATGTCCACTTCCAGATACTACAAAAAGAGTGTTTCAAACCTGCTCTATGAAAGGGACTGTTCAACACTGTGACTTCAATTGAAACATCCCAATGAAGCTTCTGAGAATGCTTCTGTCTAGAGTTTATATGAAGACAATCCCGTTTCCAACGAAATCCTCAAAGCTATCCAAATATCCTCTTGCAGATTTTACAAAAAGAGTGTTTCAAAACTGCTCTATCAAAAGAAAGCTTCAACACTGTTAGTTGAGGGCGCACATCACAAATAAGTTTCTGAGAATGCTTCTGTCTAGTTTACAGGAGAAGATATTTCCTTTTTCACCATAGGCCTGAAAGCGCTCCAAATGTCCAAATACAGACACTATAAAAAGAGTGTTTCAAACCTGCTCTCTGAAAGGGAATGTTCAACTCTGTGACTTGAATGCAAACATCACAAACAAGATTCTGGGAATGCTGCTGTCTGCTTTTTATATGTAATCCCGTTTCCAACGAAATCCTCAAAGCTATCCAAATATCCTCTTGCAGATATTACAAAAAGAGTGTTTCAAAACTGCTCTATCAAAAGAAAGGTTCAACACTGTTAGTTGAGGGTGCACATCACAAATAAGTTTCTGAGAATGCTTCTATGTAGCTTTTATTGGAAGATATTTCCATTTTCACCGTAGTCCTGAGAGCGCTCCAAATGTCCACTTCCAGATACTACAAAAAGAGTGTTTCAAACCTGTTCCATGAAAGGAACTGTTCAACACTGTGACTTCAATTGAAACATCCCAATGAAGCTTCTGAGAATGCTTCTGCCTAGAGTTTATATGAAGACAATCCCGTTTCCAACGAAATCCTCAAAGCTATCCAAATATCCTCTTGCAGATATTACAAAAAGAGTGTTTCAAAACTGCTCTATCAAAAGAAAGCTTCAACACTGTTAGTTGAGGGCGCACATCACAAATAAGTTTCTGAGAATGCTTCTGTCTAGTTTTCAGGGGAACATATTTCCTTTTTCACCATAGGCCTGAAAGCGCTCCAAATGTCCACATCCAGATACTACAAAAAGAGTGTTTCAAACCTGCTCTATGAAAGGGAATGTTCAACTCTGTGACTTGAATGCAAACATCACAAAGAAGTTACTGGGAATGCTGCTGTCTGCTTTTTATATGTAATCCCGTTTCCAACGAAATCCTCAAAACTAGACAAATATCCACTTGCAGATTCCAAAAAAAGAGTGTTTCAAAACTGCTCTCTCAAAAGAAAGGTTCAACTCTGTTAGCTGAGTAGATACATCATGAAAAAGTTTCTGACATTGCTTCTATCTAGCTTTTCTTGGAAGATATTTCCTTTTTCACTGTAGTCCTGAGAACGCTCCAAATGTCCACTTCCAGATACTACAAAAAGAGTGTTTCAAATCTGCTCTATGAAAGGGACTGTTCAACACTGTGACTTCAATTGAAACATCCCAATGAAGCTTCTGAGAATGATTCTGTCTAGATTCTATATGAAGACAATCCCGTTTCCAACGAAATCCTCAAAGCTATCCAAATATCCTCTTGCAGATTTTACAAAAAGAGTGTTTCAAAACTGCTCTATCAAAAGAAAAGTTCCACACTGTTAGTTGAGGGCGCACATCACAAATAAGTTTGCTGAGAATGCTGCTGTCTGCTTTTTATATGTAATCCCGTTTCCAACGAAATCCTCAAAGCTAGACAAATATCCACTTGCAGATTCCACAAAAAGAGTGTTTCAAAACTGCTCTCTCAAAAGAATGCTTCAACACTCTTAGTTGAGGGCGCACATCACAAATAAGTTTCTGAGAATGCTTCTGTCTAGTTTTCAGGGGAAGATATTTCCTTTTAAACCATAGGCCTGAAAGCGCTCCAAATGTCCACATCCAGATACTACAAAAAGAGTGTTTCAAACCTGCTCTATGAAAGGGACTGTTCAACACTGTGACTTCAATTGAAACATCCCAATGACGCTTCTGAGAATGCTTCTGTCTGGAGTTTATATGAAGACAATCCCGTTTCCAACGAAATCCTCAAAGCTATCCAAATATCCTCTTGCAGATTTTACAAAAAGAGTGTTTCAAAACTGCTCTATCAAAAGAAAGCTTCAACACTGTTACTTGAGGGCGCACATCACAAATAAGATTCTGAGAATGCTTCTGTCTAGTTTTCAGGGGAAGATATTTCCTTTTTCACCATAGGCCTGAAAGCGCTCCAAATGTCCACATCCAGATACTACAAAAAGAGTGTTTCAAACCTGCTCTATGAAAGGGAATGTTCAACTGTGTGACTTGAATGCAAACATCACAAAGAAGTTTCTGGGAATGCTGCTGTCTGCTTTTTATATGTAATCCCGTTTCCAACGAAATCCTCAAAGCTATCCAAATATCCTCATGCAGATATTACAAAAAGAGTGTTTCAAAACTGCTCTATCAAAAGAAAGGTTCAACTCTGTTAGCTGAGTAGATACATCATGAAAAAGTTTCTGACATTGCATCTATGTAGCTTTTATTGGAAGATATTTCCTTTTTCACCACAGTCCTGAGAGCGCTCCAAATGTCCACTTCCAGATACTACAAAAAGAGTGTTTCAAACCTGTTCTATGAAAGGAACTGTTCAACACTGTGACTTCAATTGAAACATCCCAATGAAGCTTCTGAGAATGCTGCTGTCTGCTTTGTATAATTAATCCCGTTTCCAACGAAATCCTCAAAGCTATCCAAATATCCTCTTGCAGATATTACAAAAAGAGTGTTTCAAAACTGCTCTATCAAAAGAAAGCTTCAACACTGTTAGTTGAGGGCGCACATCACAAATAAGTTTCTGAGAATGCTGCTGTCTGCTTTTTATATGTAATCCCGTTTCCAACGAAATCCTCAAAGCTAGACAAATATCCACTTGCAGATTCCACAAAAAGAGTTTTTCAAAACTGCTCTATCAAAAGAAAGCTTCAACACTGTTAGTTGAGGGCGCACATCACAAATAAGTTTCTGAGAATGCTTCTGTCTAGTTTTCAGGGGAAGATATTTCCTTTTTCACCATAGGCCTGAAAGCGCTCCAAATGTCCACATCCAGATACTACAAAAAGAGTGTTTCAAACCTGCTCTATGAAAGGGACTGTTCAACACTGTGACTTCAATTGAAACATCCCAATGAAGCTTCTGAGAATGCTTCTGTCTAGAGTTTATATGAAGACAATCCCGTTTCCAACGAAATCCTCAAAGCTAACCAAATATCCTCTTGCAGATTTTACAAAAAGAGTGTTTCAAAACTGCTCTATCAAAAGAAAGCTTCTACACTGTTAGTTGAGGGCGCACGATCACAAATAAGATTCTGAGAATGCTTCTGTCTAGTTTTCAGGGGAAGATATTTCCTTTTTCACCATAGGCCTGAAAGCGCTCCAAATGTCCACATACAGATACTACAAAAAGAGTGTTTCAAACCTGCTCTATGAAAGGGAATGTTCAACTCTGTGACTTGAATGCAAACTTCACAAAGAAGTTTCTGGGAATGCTGCTGTCTGCTTTTTATATGTAATCCCGTTTCCAACGAAATCCTCAATGCTAGACAAATATCCACTTGCAGATTCCACAAAAAGAGTGTTTCAAAACTGCTCTCTCAAAAGAAAGGTTCAACTCTGTTAGCTGAGTAGATACATCATGAAAAAGTTTCTGACATTGCTTCTATCTAGCTTTTAGTGGAAGATATTTCCTTTATCACCGTATTCCTGAGATCTCTCCAAATGTCCACTTCCAGATACTACAAAAAGAGTGTTTCAAACCTGCTCTATGAAAGGGACTGTTCAAAACTGTGACTTCAATTGAAACATCCCAATGAAGCTTCTGAGAATGCTTCTGTCTAGAGTTTATATGAAGACAATCCCGTTTCCAACGAAATCCTCAAAGCTATCCAAATATCCTCTTGCAGATATTACAAAAAGAGTGTTTCAAAACTGCTCTATCAAAAGAAAGGTTCAACACTGTTAGTTGAGGGCGCACATCACAAATAAGTTTACTGAGAATGCTGCTGTCTGCTTTTTATATGTAATCCCGTTTCCAACGAAATCCTCAAAGCTATCCAAATATCCTCTTGCAGATTTTACAAAAAGAGTGTTTCAAAACTGCTCTATCAAAAGAAAGCTTCAACACTGTTAGTTGAGGGCGCACATCACAAATAAGATTCTGAGAATGCTTCTGTCTAGTTTTCAGGGGAAGATATTTCCTTTTTCACCATAGGCCTGAAAGCGCTCTAAATGTCCACATCCAGATACTACAAAAAGAGTGTTTCAAACCTGCTCTATGAAAGGGACTGTTCAACACTGTGACTTCAATTGAAACATCCCAATGAAGCTTCTGAGAATGCTTCTGTCTAGAGTTTATATGAAGACAATCCCGTTTCCAATGAAATCCTCAAAGCTATCCAAATATCCTCTTGCAGATTTTACAAAAAGAGTGTTTCAAAACTGCTCTTTCAAAAGAAAGCTTCAACACTGTTATTTGAGGGCGCACATCACAAATAAGATTCTGAGAATGCTTCTGTCTAGTTTTCAGGGGAAGATATTTCCTTTTTCACCATAGGACTGAAAGCGCTCCAAATGTCCACATCCAGATACTACAAAAAGAGTGTTTCAAGCCTGCTCTATGAAAGGGAATGTTCAACTCTGTGACTTGAATGCAAACATCACAAAGAAGTTTCTGGGAATGCAGCTGTCTGCTTTTTATATGTAATCCCGTTTCCAACGAAATCCTCAAAGCTAGACAAATATCCACTTGCAGATTCCACAAAAAGAGTGTTTCAAAACTGCTCTCTCAAAAGAAAGGTTCAACTCTGTTAGCTGAGTAGATACATCATGAAAAAGTTTCTGACATTGCTTCTATGTAGCTTTTATTGGAAGATATTTCCATTTTCACCGTAGTCCTGAGAGCGCTCCAAATGTCCACTTCCAGATACTACAAAAAGAGTGTTTCAAACCTGTTCTATGAAAGGAACTGTTCAACACTGTGACTTCAATTGAAACATCCCAATGAAGCTTCTGAGAATGCTTCTGTCTAGAGTTTATATGAAGACAATCCCGTTTCCAACGAAATCCTCAAAGCTATCCAAATATCCTCTTGCAGATATTACAAAAAGAGTGTTTCAAAACTGCTCTATCAAAAGAAAGGTTCAACACTGTTAGTTGAGGGCGCACATCACAAATAAGTTTACTGAGAATGCTGCTGTCTGCTTTTATATGTAATCCCGTTTCCAACGAAATCCTCAATGCTAGACAAATATCGACTTGCAGATTCCAGAAAAAGAGTGTTTCAAAATTGCTCTTTCAAAACGATGGTTCAATTCTGTTAGTTGAGTACACACATCACAAATAAGTTTCAGAGAATGCTTCTGTCTAGTTTTCAGGGGAAGATATTTCCTTTTTCACCATAGGCCTGAAAGCGCTCCAAATGTCCACATCCAGATACTACAAAAAGAGTGTTTCAAACCTGCTCTATGAAAGGGACTGTTCAACACTGTGACTTCAATTGAAACATCCCAATGAAGCATCTGAGAATGCTTCTGTCTAGAGTTTATATGAAGACAATCCCGTTTCCAACGAAATCCTCAAAGCTATCCAAATATCCTCTTGCAGATTTTATGAAAAGAGTGTTTCAAAACTGCTCTATCAAAAGAAAGCTTCAACACTGTTAGTTGAGGGCGCACATCACAAATAAGATTCTGAGAATGCTTCTGTCTAGTTTTCAGGAGAAGATATTTCCTTTTTCACCATAGGCCTGAAAGCGCTCCAAATGTCCACATCCAGATACTATAAAAAGAGTGTTTCAAACCTGCTCTCTGAAAGGGAATGTTCAACTCTGTGACATGAATGCAAACATCACAAACAAGATTCTGGGAATGCTGCTGTCTGCTTTTTATATGTAATCCCGTTTCCAACGAAATCCTCAAATCTAGACAAATATCCACTTGCAGATTCCACAAAAAGAGTGTTTCAAAACTGCTCTATCAAAAGAAAGCTTCAACACTGTTAGTTGAGGGCGCACATCACAAATAAGTTTCTGAGAATGCTTCTGTCTAGTTTTCAGAGGAAGATATTTCCTTTTTCACCATAGGCCTGAAAGCGCTCCAAATGTCCACATCCAGATACTACAAAAAGAGTGTTTCAAACCTGCTCTATGAAAGGGACTGTTCAACACTGTGACTTCAATTGAAACATCCCAATGAGGCTTCTGTGAATGCTTCTGTGTAGAGTTTATATGAAGACAATCCCGTTTCCAACGAAATCCTCAAAGCTATCCAAATATCCTCTTGCAGATTTTACAAAAAGAGTGTTTCAAAACTGCTCTATCAAAAGAAAGCTTCAACACTGTTAGTTGAGGGCGCACATCACAAATAAGATTCTGAGAATTCTTCTATCTAGTTTGCAGGGGAAGATATTTCCTTTTTCACCATAGGCCTGAAAGCGCTCCAAATGTCCACATCCAGATACTACAAAAAGAGTGTTTCAAACCTGCTCTATGAAAGGGAATCTTCAAGTATGTGACTTGAATGCAAATATCACAAAGAAGTTTCTGGGAATGCTGCTGTCTGCTTTTTATATGTAATCCCGTTTCCAACGCAATCCTCAAAGCTAGACAAATATCCACTTGCAGATTCCACAAAAAAGAGTGTTTCAAAACTGCTCTCTCAAAAGAAAGGTTCAACCCTGTTAGCTGAGTAGATACATCATGAAAAATTTTCTGACATTGCTTCTATCTAGCTTTCATTGGAAGATATTTCCTTTTTCACGGTAGTCCTGAGAGCGCTCCAAATGTCCACTTCCAGATACTACAAGAAGAGTGTTTCAAACCTGCTCTAACAAAGGGAATGTTCAACACTGTGACTTCAATTGAAACATCCCAAAGAAATTTCTGAGAATGCTTCTGTCTAGAGTTTATATGAAGACAATCCCGTTTCCAACGAAATCCTCAAAGCTATCCAAATATCCTCTTGCAGATATTACAAAAAGAGTGTTTCAAAACTGCTCTATCAAAAGAAAGGTTCAACACTGTTAGTTGAGGGCGCACATCACAAATAAGTTTACTGAGAATGCTGCTGTCTGCTTTTTATATGTAATCCCGTTTCCAACGAAATCCTCAAAGCTAGACAAATATCCACTTGCAGATTCCACAAAAAGAGTGTTTCAAAACTGCTCTATCAAAAGAAAGCTTCAACACTGTTAGTTGAGGGCGCACATCACAAATAAGTTTCTGAGAATGCTTCTGTCTAGTTTTCAGGGGAAGATATTTCCTTTTTCACCATAGGCCTGAAAGCGCTCCAAATGTCCACATCCAGATACTACAAAAAGAGTGTTTCAAACCTGCTCTATGAAAGGGACTGTTCAACACTGTGACTTCAATTGAAACATCCCAATGAAGCATCTGAGAATGCTTCTGTCTAGAGTTTATATGAAGACAATCCCGTTTCCAACGAAATCCTCAAAGCTATCCAAATATCCTCTTGCAGATTTTACAAAAAGAGTGTTTCAAAACTGCTCTATCAAAAGAAAGCTTCAACACTGTTAGTTGAGGGCGCACATCACAAATAAGATTGCTGAGAATGCTTCTGTCTAGTTTTCTGGGGAAGATATTTCCTTTTTCACCATAGGCCTGAAAGCGCTCCAATTGTCCACATCCAGATACTACAAAAAGAGTGTTTCCAACCTGCTCTATGAAAGGGAATGTTCAACACTGTGACTTGAATGCAAACATCACAAAGAAGTTACTGGGAATGCTGCTGTCTGCTTTTTATATGTAATCCCGTTTCCAACGAAATCCTCAAAGCTAGACAAATATCCACTTCCAGATTCCACAAAAAGAGTGTTTCAAAACTGCTCTCTCAAAAGAAAGGTTCAACTCTGTTAGCTGAGTAGATACATCATGAAAAAGTTTCTGACATTGCTTCTATGTAGCTTTTATTGGAAGATATTTCCTTTTTCACCGCAGTCCTGAGAGCGCTCCAAATGTCCACTTCCAGATACTACAAAAAGAGTGTTTCAAACCTGCTCTATGAAAGGGACTGTTCAACACTGTGACTTCAATTGAAACATCCCAATGAAGCTTCTGAGAATGCTTCTGTCTAGAGTTTATATGAAGACAATCCCGTTTCCAACGAAATCCTCAAAGCTATCCAAATATCCTCTTGCAGATTTTACAAAAAGAGTGTTTCAAAACTGCTCTATCAAAAGAAAGCTTCAACACTGTTAGTTGAGGGCGCACATAACAAATAAGATTCTGAGAATGCTTCTGTCTAGTTTTCAGGGGAAGATATTTCCTTTTTCACCATAAGCCTGAAAGCGCTCCAAATGTCCACATCCAGATACTACAAAAAGAGTGTTTCAAACCTGCTCTATGAAAGGGAATGTTCAAATCTGTGTCTTGAATGCAAACATCACAAAGAAGTTTCTGGGAATGCTTCTGTCTAGTTTTCAGGGGAAGATATTTCCTTTTAAACCATAGGCCTGAAAGCGCTCCAAATGTCCACATCCAGATACTACAAAAAGAGTGTTTCAAACCTGCTCTATGAAAGGGACTGTTCAACACTGTGACTTCAATTGAAACATCCCAATGACGCTTCTGAGAATGCTTCTGTCTAGAGTTTATATGAAGACAATCCCGTTTCCAACGAAATCCTCAAAGCTATCCAAATATCCTCTTGCAGATTTTACAAAAAGTGTGTTTCAAAACTGCTCTATCAAAAGAAAGCTTCAACACTGTTAGTTGAGGGCGCACATCACAAATAAGATTCTGAGAATGCTTCTGTCTAGTTTTCAGGGGAAGATATTTCCTTTTTCACCATAGGCCTGAAAGCGCTCCAAATGTCCACATCCAGATACTACAAAAAGAGTGTTTCAAACCTGCTCTATGAAAGAGAATGTTCAACTCTGTGACTTGAATGCAAACACCACGAAGAAGTTACTGGGAATGATGCTGTCTGCTTTTTATATGTAATCCCGTTTCCAACGAAATCCTCAAAGCTAGACAAATATCCACTTGCAGATTCCACAAAAAGAGTGTTTCAAAACTGCTCTCTCAAAAGAAAGGTTCAACTCTGTTAGCTGAGTAGATACATCATGAAAAATTTTCTGACATTGCTTCTATCTAGCTTTTATTGGAAGATATTTCCTTTATCACCGTATTCCTGAGATCTCTCCAAATGTCCACTTCCAGATACTACAAAAAGAGTGTTTCAAACCTGCTCTATGAAAGGGACTGTTCAACACTGTGACTTCAATTGAAACATCCCAATGAAGCTTCTGAGAATGCTTCTGTCTAGAGTTTATATGAAGACAATCCCGTTTCCAACGAAATCCTCAAAGCTATCCAAATATCCTCTTGCAGATATTACAAAAAGAGTGTTTCAAAACTGCTCTATCAAAAGAAAGGTTCAACACTGTTAGTTGAGGGCGCACATCACAAATAAGTTTACTGAGAATGCTGCTGTCTGCTTTTTATAATTAATCCCGTTTCCAACGAAATCCTCAAAGCTAGACAAATATCCACTTGCAGATTCCACAAAAAGAGTGTTTCAAAACTGCTCTATCAAAAGAATGCTTCAACACTCTTAGTTGAGGGCGCACATCACAAATAAGTTTCTGAGAATGCTTCTGTCTAGTTTTCAGGGGAAGATATTTCCTTTTTCACCATAGGCCTGAAAGCGCTCCAAATGTCCACATCCAGATACTACAAAAAGAGTGTTTCAAACCTGCTCTATGAAAGGGACTGTTCAACACTGTGACTTCAATTGAAACATCCCAATGAAGCTTCTGAGAATGCTTCTGTCTAGTAGTTTATATGAAGACAATCCCGTTTCCAACGAAATCCTCAAAGCTATCCAAATATCCTCTTGCAGATTTTACAAAAAGAGTGTTTCAAAACTACTCTATCAAAAGAAAGCTTCAACACTGTTAGTTGAGGGCGCACATCACAAATAAGATTCTGAGAATGCTTCTGTCTAGTTTTCAGGGGAAGATATTTCCTTTTTCACCTTAGGCCTGAAAGCGCTGCAAAAGTCCACATCCAGATACTACAAAAAGAGTGTTTCAAACCTGCTCTATGAAAGGGAATGTTCAACTCTGTGACTTGAATGCAAACATCACAAAGAAGTTTCTGGGAATGCCGCTGTCTGCTTTTTATATGTAATCCCGTTTCCAACGAAATCCTCAAAGCTAGACAAATATCCACTTGCAGATTCCACAAAAAGAGTGTTTCAAAACTGCTCTCTCAAAGGAAGGTTCAACTCTGTTAGCTGAGTAGATACATCATGAAAAAGTTTCTGACATTGCTTCTATCTAGCTTTTATTGGAAGATATTTCCCTTTTCACCGTAGTCCTGAGAACGCTCCAAATGTCCACTTCCAGATACTACAAAAAGAGTGTTTCAAACCTGCTCTATGAAAGGGACTGTTCAACACTGTGACTTCAATTGAAACATCCCAATGAAGCTTCTGAGAATGCTTCTTTCTAGAGTTTATATGAAGACAATCCCGTTTCCAACGAAATCCTCAAAGCTATCCAAATATCCTCTTGCAGATTTTACAAAAAGAGTGTTCCAAAACTGCTCCATCAAAAGAAAGCTTCAACACTGTTAGTTGAGGGCGCACATCACAAATAAGATTCTGAGAATGCTGCTGTCTGCTTTTTATATGTAATCCCGTTTCCAACGAAATCCTCAAAGCTATCCAAATATCCTCTTGCAGATATTACAAAAAGAGTGTTTCAAAACTGCTCTATCAAAAGAAAGGTTCAACACTGTTAGTTGAGGGCGCACATCACAAATAAGTTTCTGAGAATGCTTCTGTCTAGTTTTCAGGGGAAGATATTTCCTTTTAAACCATAGGCCTGAAAGCGCTCCAAATGTCCACATCCAGATACTACAAAAAGAGTGTTTCAAACCTGCTCTATGAAAGGGACTGTTCAACACTGTGACTTCAATTGAAACATCCCAATGACGCTTCTGAGAATGCTTCTGTCTAGAGTTTATATGAAGACAATCCCGTTTCCAACGAAATCCTCAAAGCTATCCAAATATCCTCTTGCAGATATTACAAAAAGAGTGTTTCAAAACTGCTCTATCAAAAGAAAGCTTCAACACTGTTAGTTGAGGGCGCACCTCACAAATAAGTTTCTGAGAATGCTTCTGTCTAGTTTTCAGGGGAAGATATTTCCTTTTTCACCGTAGGCCTGAAAGCGCTCCAAATGTCCACAACCAGATACTACAAAAAGAGTGTTTCAAACCTGCTCTATGAAAGGGAATGTTCAACTCTGTGACTTGAATGCAAACATCACAAAGAAGTTTCTGGGAATGCTGCTGTCTGCTTTTTATATGTAATCCCGTTTCCAACGAAATCCTCAAAGCTAGACAAATATCCACTTGCAGATTCCACAAAAAGAGTGTTTCAAAACTGCTCTCTCAAAAGAAAGGTTCAACTCTGTTAGCTGAGTAGATACATCATGAAAAAGTTTCTGACATTGCTTCTATGTAGCTTTTATTGGAAGATATTTCCTTTTTCACCGTAGTCCTGAGAGCGCTCCAAATGTCCACTTCCAGATACTACAAAAAGAGTGTTTCAAACCTGTTCTATGAAAGGAACTGTTCAACACTGTGACTTCAATTGAAACATCCCAATGAAGCTTCTGAGAATGCTTATGTCTAGAGTTTATATGAAGACAATCCCGTTTCCAACGAAATCCTGAAAGCTATCCAAATATCCTCTTGCAGATATTACAAAAAGAGTGTTTCAAAACTGCTCTATCAAAAGAAAGCTTCAACACTGTTAGTTGAGGGCGCCCATCACAAATAAGTTTCGGAGAATGCTTAGCTGTCTGCTTTTTATATGTAATCCCGTTTCCAACGAAATCCTCAAAGCTAGACAAATATCCACTTGCAGATTCCACAAAAAGAGTGTTTCAAAACTGCTCTATCAAAAGAAAGCTTCAACACTGTTAGTTGAGGGCGCACATCACAAATAAGTTTCTGAGAATGCTTCTGTCTAGTTTTCAGGGGAAGATATTTCCTTTTAAACCATAGGCCTGAAAGCGCTCCAAATGTCCACATCCAGATACTACAAAAAGAGTGTTTCAAACCTGCTCTATGAAAGGGACTGTTCAACACTGTGACTTCAATTGAAACATCCCAATGAAGCTTCTGAGAATGCTGCTGTCTAGGGTTAATATGAAGACAATCCCGTTTCCAACGAAATCCTCAAAGCTATCCAAATATCCTCTTGCAGATTTTACGAAAAGAGTGTTTCAAAACTACCCTATCAACAGAAAGGTTCAACATTGTTAGTTGAGGGCGCACATCACAAATAAGTTTCTGAGAATGCTTCTGTCTAGTTTTCAGGGGAAGATATTTCCTTTTTCACCATAGGCCTGAAAGCGCTCCAAATGTCCACATCCAGATACTACAAAAAGAGTGTTTCAAACCTGCTCTCTGAAAGGGAATGTTCAACTCTGTGACTTGAATGCAAACATCACAAAGAAGTTTCTGGGAATGCTGCTGTCTGCTTTTTATATGTAATCCCGTTTCCAACGAAATCCTCAAAGCTAGACAAATATCCACTTGCAGATTCCACAAAAAGAGTGTTTCAAAACTGCTCTCTCAAAGGAAAGGTTCAACTCTGTTAGCTGAGTAGATACATCATGAAAAAGTTTCTGACATTGCTTCTATGTAGCTTTTATTGGAAGATATTTCCTTTTTCACCGTAGTCCTGAGAGCGCTCCAAATGTGCACTTCCAGGTACTACAAAAAGTGTGTTTCATACCTGTTCTATGAAAGGAACTGTTCAACATTGTGACTTCAATTGAAACATCCCAATGAAGCTTCTGAGAATGCTTCTGTCTAGATTCTATATGAAGACAATCCCGTTTCCAACGAAATCCTCAAAGCTATCCAAATATCCTCTTGCAGATTTTACAAAAAGAGTGTTTCAAAACTGCTCTATCAAAAGAAAAGTTCCACACTGTTAGTTGAGGGCGCACATCACAAATAAGTTTGCTGAGAATGCTGCTGTCTGCTTTTTATAATTAATCCCGTTTCCAACGAAATCCTCAAAGCTATCCAAATATCCTCTTGCAGATATTACAAAAAGAGTGTTTCAAAACTGCTCTATCAAAAGAAAGCTTCAACACTGTTAGTTGAGGGCGCACATCACAAATAAGTTTCTGAGAATGCTTCTGTCTAGTTTTCAGGGGAAGATATTTCCTTTTAAACCATAGGCCTGAAAGCGCTCCAAATGTCCACATCCAGATACTACAAAAAGAGTGTTTCAAACCTGCTCTATGAAAGGGACTGTTCAACACTGTGACTTCAATTGAAACATCCCAATGAAGCTTCTGAGAATGCTTCTGTCTAGAGTTTATATGAAGACAATCCCGTTTCCAACGAAATCCTCAAAGCTATCAAAATATCCTCTTGCAGATTTTACGAAAAGAGTGTTTCAAAACTGCTCTATCAAAAGAAAGCTTCAACACTGTTAGTTGAGGGCGCACATCACAGATAAGATTCTGAGAATGCTTCTGTCTAGTTTTCAGGGGAAGATATTTCCTTTTTCACCATAGGCCTGAAAGCGCTCCAAATGTCCACATCCAGATACTACAAAAAGAGTGTTTGAAACCTGCTCTCTGAAAGGGAATGTTCAACTCTGTGACTTGAATGCAAACATCACAAAGAAGTTTCTGGGAATGCTGCTGTCTGCTTTTTATATGTAATCCCGTTTCCAACGAAATCCTCAAAGCTAGACAAATATCCACTTTCAGATTACACAAAAAGAGTGTTTCAAAACTGCTCTCTCAAAAGAAAGGTTCAACTCTGTTAGCTGAGTAGATACATCATGAAAAAGTTTCTGACATTGCTTCTATCTAGCCTTTATTGGAAGATATTTCCTTTTTCACCGTAGTCCTGAGAATGCTCCAAATGTCCACTTCCAGATGCTGCAAAAAGAGTGTTTCAAACCTGCTCTATGAAAGGGACTGTTCAACACTTTGACTTCAATTGAAACATCCCAATGAAGCTTCTGAGAATGCTTCTTTCTAGAGTTTATATGAAGACAATCCCGTTTCCAACGAAATCCTCAAAGCTATCCAAATATTCTCTTGCAGATATTACAAAAAGAGTGTTTCAAAACTGCTCTATCAAAATAAAGCTTCAACACTGTTAGTTGAGGGCGCACATCACAAATAAGTTTCTGAGAATGCTGCTGTCTGCTTTTTATATGTAATCCCGTTTCCAACGAAATCCTCAAAGCTAGACAAACATCCACTTGCAGATTCCACAAAAAGAGTGTTTCAAAACTGCTCTATCAAAAGAAAGCTTCAACACTGTTAGTTGAGGGCGCACATCACAAATAAGTTTCTGAGAATGCTTCTGTCTAGTTTTCAGGGGAAGATATTTCCTTTTAAACCATAGGCCTGAAAGCGCTCCAAATGTCCACATCCAGATACTACAAAAAGAGTGTTTCAAACCTGCTCTATGAAAGGGACTGTTCAACACTGTGACTTCAATTGAAACATCCCAATGACGCTTCTGAGAATGCTTCTGTCTAGAGTTTATATGAAGACAATCCCGTTTCCAACGAAATCCTCAAAGCTATCCAAATATCCTCTTGCAGATTTTACAAAAAGAGTGTTTCAAAACTGCTCTATCAAAAGAAAGCTTCAACTCTGTTAGTTGAGGGCGCACATCACAAATAAGATTCTGAGAATGCTTCTGTCTAGTTTTCAGGGGAAGATATTTCCTTTTTCACCATAGGCCTGAAAGCGCTCCAAATGTCCACATCCAGATACTACAAAAAGAGTGTTTCAAACCTGCTCTATGAAAGGGAATGTTCAACTCTGTGACTTGAATGCAAACGTCACAAAGAAGTTTCTGGGAATGCTGCTGTCTGCTTTTTATATGTAATCCCGTTTCCAACGAAATCCTCAAAGCTAGAGAAATATCCACTTGCAGTTTCCACAAAAAGAGTGTTTCAAAACTGCTCTCTCAAAAGAAAGGTTCAACTCTGTTAGCTGAGTAGATACATCATGAAAAAGTTTCTGACATTGCTTCTATCTAGCTTTTATTGGAAGATATTTCCTTTATCACCGTATTCCTGAGATCTCTCCAAATGTCCACTTCCAGATACTACAAAAAGAGTGTTTCAAACCTGCTCTATGAAAGGGACTGTTCAACACTGTGACTTCAATTGAAACATCCCAATGAAGCTTCTGAGAATGCTTCTGTCTAGAGTTTATATGAAGACAATCCCGTTTCCAACGAAATCCTCAAAGCTATCCAAATATCCTCTTGCAGATATTACAAAAAGAGTGTTTCAAAACTGCTCTATCAAAAGAAAGGTTCAACACTGTTAGTTGAGGGCGCACATCACAAATAAGTTTACTGAGAATGCTGCTGTCTGCTTTTTATATGTAATCCCGTTTCCAACGAAATCCTCAAAGCTAGACAAATATCCACTTCCAGATTCCACAAAAAGAGTGTTTCAAAACTGCTCTATCAAAAGAAAGCTTCAACACTGTTAGTTGAGGGCGCACATCACAAATAAGTTTCTGAGAATGCTTCTGTCTTGTTTTCAGGGGAAGATATTTCCTTTTTCACCTTAGGCCTGAAAGCGCTGCAAATGTCCACATCCAGATACT
Organism: Homo sapiens; assembly: GCF_000001405.40. Classification (NCBI taxonomy): domain Eukaryota; kingdom Metazoa; phylum Chordata; class Mammalia; order Primates; family Hominidae; genus Homo; species Homo sapiens. Next base: position 93,358,969 of record NC_000002.12, on the reverse strand, counting down.
ACAAAAAGAGTGTTTCAAACCTGCTCTATGAAAGGGAATGTTCAACTCTGTGACTTGAATGCAAACATCACAAAGAAGTTTCTGGGAATGCTTCTGTCTAGAGTTTATATGAAGACAATCCCGTTTCCAACGAAATCCTCAAAGCTATCCAAATATCCTCTTGCAGATTTTACAAAAAGAGTGTTTCAAAACTGCTCTATCAAAAGAAAGCTTCAACACTGTTAGTTGAGGGCGCACATCACAAATAAGATTCTGAGAATGCTTCTGTCTAGTTTTTATGGGAGGATATTTCCTTTTTCACCATACGCCTGAAAGCGCTCCAAATGTCCACATCCAGATACTACAAAAAGAGTGTTTCAAACCTGCTCTATGAAAGGGAATGTTCAACTCTGTGACTTGAATGCAAACTTCACAAAGAAGTTTCTGGGAATGCTGCTGTCTGCTTTTTATATGTAATCCCGTTTCCAACGAAATCCTCAAAGCTAGACAAATATCCACTTCCAGATTCCACAAAAAGAGTGTTTCAAAACTGCTCTCTCAAAAGAAAGGTTCAACTCTGTTAGCTGAGTAGATACATCATGAAAAAGTTTCTGACATTGCTTCTATCTAGCTTTTATTGGAAGATATTTCCTTTTTCACCGCAGTCCTGAGAGCGCTCCAAATGTCCACTTCCAGATACTACAAAAAGAGTGTTTCAAACCTGCTCTATGAAAGGGACTGTTCAACACTGTGACTTCAATTGAAACATCCCAATGAAGCTTCTGAGAATGCTTCTGTCTAGAGTTTATATGAAGACAATCCCGTTTCCAACGAAATCCTCAAAGCTATCCAAATATCCTCTTGCAGATATTACAAAAAGAGTGTTTCAAAACTGCTCTATCAAAAGAAAGGTTCAACACTGTTAGTTGAGGGCGCACATCACAAATAAGTTTACTGAGAATGCTGCTGTCTGCTTTTTATATATAATCCCGTTTCCAACGAAATCCTCAAAGATAGACAAATATCCACTTGCAGATTCCACAAAAAGAGTGTTTCAAAACTGCTCTATCAAAGGAATGCTTCAACACTGTTAGTTGAGGGCGCACATCACAAATAAGTTTCTGAGAATGCTTCTGTCTAGTTTTCAGTGGAAGATATTTCCTTTTAAACCATAGGCCTGAAAGCGCTCCAAATGTCCACATCCAGATACTACAAAAAGAGTGTTTGAAACCTGTTCTATGAAAGGGACTGTTCAACACTGTGACTTCAATTGAAACATCCCAATGAAGCTTCTGAGAATGCTACTGTCTAGGGTTAATATGAAGACAATCCCGTTTCCAAAGAAATCCTCAAAGCTATCCAAATATCCTCTTGCAGATTTTACAAAAAGAGTGTTTCAAAACTGCTCCATCAAAAGAAAAGTTCAACACTGTTAGTTGAGGGCGCACATCACAAATAAGTTTCTGAGAATGCTTCCGTCTAGTTTTCAGGGGAAGATATTTCCTTTTTCACCATAGGCCTGAAAGCGCTCCAAATGTCCACATACAGATACTACAAAAAGAGTGTTTCAAACCTGCTCTATGAAAGGGAATGTTCAACTCTGTGACTTGAATGCAAACATCACAAAGAAGTTCTGGGAATGCTGCTGTCTGCTTTTTATATGTAATCCCGTTTCCAACGAAATCCTCAAAGCTAGACAAATATCCACTTGCAGATTCCACAAAAAGAGTGTTTCAAAACTGCTGTCTCAAAAGAAAGGTTCAACTCTGTTAGCTGAGCAGATACATCATGAAAAAGTTTCTGACATTGCTTCTATCTAGCTTTTATTGGAAGATATTTCCTTTTTCACCTTAGTCCTGAGAACGCTCCAAATGTCCACTTCCAGATACTACAAAAAGGGTGTTTCAAACCTGCTCTATGAAAGGGACTGTTCAACACTGTGACTTCAATTGAAACATCCCAATGAAGCTTCTGAGAATGCTTCTGTCTAGAGTTTATATGAAGACAATCCCGTTTCCAACGAAATCCTCAAAGCTATCCAAATATCCTCTTGCAGATATTACAAAAAGAGTGTTTCAAAACTGCTCTATCAAAAGAAAGGTTCAACACTGTTAGTTGAGGGCGCACATCACAAATAAGTTTACTGAGAATGCTGCTGTCTGCTTTTTATATGTAATCCCGTTTCCAACGAAATCCTCAAAGCTAGACAAATATCCACTTGCAGATTCCACAAAAAGAGTGTTTCAAAACTGCTCTATCAAAAGAAAGCTTCAACACTGTTAGTTGAGGGCGCACATCACAAATAAGTTTCTGAGAATGCTTCTGTCTAGTTTTCAGGGGAAGATATTTCCTTTTTCACCATAGGCCTGAAAGCGCTCGAAATGTCCACATCCAGATACTACAAAAAGAGTGTTTCAAACCTGCTCTATGAAAGGGACTGTTCAACACTGTGACTTCAATTGAAACATCCCAATGAAGCTTCTGAGAATGCTTCTGTCTAGAGTTTATATGAAGACAATCCCGTTTCCAAAGAAATCCTCAAAGCTATCCAAATATCCTCTTGCAGATTTTACAAAAAGAGTGTTTCAAAACTGCTCTATCAAAAGAAAGCTTCAACACTGTTAGTTGAGGGCGCACATCACAAATAAGATTCTGAGAATGCTTCTGTCTACTTTTCAGGGGAAGATATTTCCTTTTTCACCATAGGCCTGAAAGCGCTCCAAATGTCCACATCCAGATACTACAAAAAGAGTGTTTCAAACCTGCTCTATGAAAGGGAATGTTCAACTGTGTGACTTGAATGCAAACATCACAAAGAAGTTTCTGGGAATGCTGCTGTCTGCTTTTTATATGTAATCCCGTTTCCAACGCAATCCTCAAAGCTAGACAAATATCCACTTGCAGATTCCACAAAAAGAGTGTTTCAAAACTGCTCTCTCTAAAGAAAGGTTCAACCCTGTTAGCTGAGTAGATACATCATGAAAAATTTTCTGACATTGCTTCTATCTAGCTTTTATTGGAAGATATTTCCTTTTTCATTGTAGTCCTGAGAACGCTCCAAATGTCCACTTCCAGATACTACAAAAAGAGTGTTTCAAATCTGCTCTATGAAAGGGACTGTTCAACACTGTGACTTCAATTGAAACATCCCAATGAAGCTTCTGAGAATGATTCTGTCTAGATTCTATATGAAGACAATCCCGTTTCCAACGAAATCCTCAAAGCTATCCAAATATCCTCTTGCGGATTTTTCAAAAAGAGTGTATCAAAACTGCTCTATCAAAAGAAAGGTTCAACACTGTTTGTTGAGGGCGCACATCACAAATAAGTTTCTGAGAATGTTGCTGTCTGCTTTTTATATGTAATCCCGTTTCCAACGAAATCCTCAAAGCTAGACAAATATCCACTTGCAGATTCCAGAAAAAGAGTGTTTCAAAACTGCTCTATCAAAAGAATGCTTCAACACTGTTAGTTGAGGGCGCACATCACAAATAAGTTTCTGAGAATGCTTCTGTCTAGTTTTCAGTGGAATATATTTCCTTTTTCACCGTAGTCCTGAGAGCGCTCCAAATGTCCAATTCCAGATACTACAAAAAGAGTGTTTCAAACCTGCTCTATGAAAGGGACTGTTCAACACTGTGACTTCAATTGATACATCCCAATGAAGCTTATCAGAATGCTTCTGTCTAGAGTTTATATGAAGACAATCCCTTTTCCAACGAAATCCTCAAAGCTATCCAAATATCCTCTTGCAGATATTACAAAAAGAGTGTTTCAAAACTGCTCTATCAAAAGAAAGCTTCAACACTGTTATTTGAGGGCGCACATCACAAATAAGTTTCTGAGAATGCTTCTGTCTAGTTTTCAGGGGAAGATATTTCCTTTTTCACCATAGGCCTGAAAGCGCTCCAAATGTCCACATCCAGATACTACAAAAAGAGTGTTTCAAACCTGCTCTATGAAAGGGAATGTTCAACTCTGTGACTTGAATGCAAACATCACAAAGAAGATTCTGGGAATGCTGCTGTCTGCTTTGTATATGTAATCCCGTTTCCAACGAAATCCTCAAAGCTAGACAAATATCCACTTGCAGATTCCACAAAAAGAGTGTTTCAAAACTGCTCTATCAAAAGAAAGCTTCAACACTGTTAGTTGAGGGCGCACATCACAAATAAGATTCTGAGAATGCTTCTGTCTAGTTTTCAGGGGAAGATATTTCCTTTTAAACCATAGGCCTGAAAGCGCTCCAAATGTCCACATCCAGATACTACAAAAAGAGTGTTTGAAACCTGCTCTATGAAAGGGACTGTTCAACACTGTAACTTCAATTGAAACATCCCAATGAAGCTTACTGAGAATGCTTCTGTCTAGAGTTTATATGAAGACAATCCCGTTACCAATTAAATCCTCAAAGCTATCCAAATATCCTCTTGCAGATTTTACAAAAAGAGTGTTTGAAAACTGCTCTATCAAAAGAAAGCTTCAACACTGTTAGTTGAGGGCGCACATCACAAATAAGATTCTGAGAATGCTTCTGTCTAGTTTTCAGGGGAAGATATTTCCTTTTTCACCATAGGCCTGAAAGCGCTCCAAATGTCCACATCCAGATACTACAAAAAGAGTGTTTCAAACCTGCTCTATGAAAGGGAATGTTCAACTCTGTGACTTGAATGCAAACATCACAAAGAAGTTTCTGGGAATGCTGCTTTCTGCTTTTTATATGTAATCCCGTTTCCAACGAAATCCTCAAAGCTAGACAAATATCCACTTGCAGATTCCACAAAAAGAGTGTTTCAAAACTGCTCTCTCAAAAGAAAGGTTCAACTCTGTTAGCTGAGTAGATACATCATGAAAAAGTTTCTGACATTGCTTCTATGTAGCTTTTATTGGAAGATATTTCCTTTTTCACCATAGTCCTGAGAGCGCTCCAAATGTCCACTTCCAGATACTACAAAAAGAGTGTTTCAAACCTGTTCTATGAAAGGAACTGTTCAACACTGTGACTTCAATTGAAACATCCCAAAGAAGCTTCTGAGAATGCTTATGTCTAGAGTTTATATGAAGACAATCCCGTTTCCAACGAAATCCTGAAAGCTATCCAAATATCCTCTTGCAGATATTACAAAAAGAGTGTTTCAAAACTGCTCTATCAAAAGAAAGCTTCAACACTGTTAGTTGAGGGCGCCCATCACAAATAAGTTTCGGAGAATGCTTAGCTGTCTGCTTTTTATAATTAATCCCGTTTCCAACGAAATCCTCAAAGCTATCCAAATATCCTCTTGCAGATATTACAAAAAGAGTGTTTCAAAACTGCTCTATCAAAAGAAAGCTTCAACACTGTTAGTTGAGGGCGCACATCACAAATAAGTTTCTGAGAATGCTTCTGTCTAGTTTTCAGGGGAAGATATTTCCTTTTAAACCATAGGCCTGAAAGCGCTCCAAATGTCCACATCCAGATACTACAAAAAGAGTGTTTCAAACCTGCTCTATGAAAGGGACTGTTCAACACTGTGACTTCAATTGAAACATCCCAATGACGCTTCTGAGAATGCTTCTGTCTAGATTTTATATGAAGACAATCCCGTTTCCAACGAAATCCTCAAAGCTATCCAAATATCCTCTTGCAGATATTACAAAAAGAGTGTTTCAAAACTGCTCTATCAAAAGAAAGGTTCAACACTGTTAGTTGAGGGCGCACATCACAAATAAGTTTCTGAGAATGCTTCTGTCTAGTTTTCAGGGGAAGATATTTCCTTTTTCACCATAGGCCTGAAAGCGCTCCAAATGTCCACATCCAGATACTACAAAAAGAGTGTTTCAAACCTGCTCTCTGAAAGGGAATGTTCAACTCTGTGTCTTGAATGTAAACATCACAAACAAGATTCTGGGAATGCTGCTGTCTGCTTTTTATATGTAATCCCGTTTCCAACGAAATCCTCAAAGCTAGACAAATATCCACTTGCAGATTCCACAAAAAGAGTGTTTCAAAACTGCTCTCTCAAAGGAAAGGTTCAACTCTGTTAGCTGAGTAGATACATCATGAAAAAGTTTCTGACATTGCTTCTATCTAGCTTTTATTGGAAGATATTTCCTTTTTCACCGCAGTCCTGAGAGCGCTCCAAATGTCCACTTCCAGATACTACAAAAAGAGTGTTTCAAACCTGCTCTATGAAAGGGACTGTTCAACACTGTGACTTCAACTGAAACATCCCAATGAAGCTTCTGAGAATGCTTCTGTCTAGAGTTTATATGAAGACAATCCCGTTTCCAACGAAATCCTCAAAGCTATCAAAATATCCTCTTACAGATTTTACGAAAAGAGTGTTTCAAAACTGCTCTATCAAAAGAAAGCTTCAACACTGTTAGTTGAGGGCGCACATCACAAATAAGATTCTGAGAATGCTGCTGTCTGCTTTTTATATGTAATCCCGTTTCCAACGAAATCCTCAAAGCTAGACAAATATCCACTTGCAGATTCCACAAAAAGAGTGTTTCAAAACTGCTCTATCAAAAGAAAGCTTCAACACTGTTAGTTGAGGGCGCACATCACAAATAAGTTTCTGAGAATGCTTCTGTCTAGTTTTCAGGGGAAGATATTTCCTTTTTCACCATAGGCCTGAAAGCGCTCGAAATGTCCACATCCAGATACTACAAAAAGAGTGTTTCAAACCTGCTCTATGAAAGGGACTGTTCAACACTGTGACTTCAATTGAAACATCCCAATGAAGCTTCTGAGAATGCTTCTGTCTAGATTGTATATGAAGACAATCCCGTTTCCAACGAAATCCTCAAAGCTATCCAAATATCCTCTTGCAGATTTTACAAAAAGAGTGTTTCAAAACTGCTCTATCAAAAGAAAGCTTCAACACTGTTAGTTGAGGGCGCACATCACAAATAAGTTTCTGAGAATGCTTCAGTCTAGTTTTCAGGGGAAGATATTTCCTTTTTCACCATAGGCCTGAAAGCGCTCCAAATGTCCACATCCAGATACTACAAAAAGAGTGTTTCAAACCCGCTCTATGAAAGGGAATGTTCAAGTCTGTGACTTGAATGCAAATTTCAGAAAGAAGTTTCTGGGAATGCTGCTGTCTGCTTTTTATATGTAATCCCGTTTCCAACGAAATCCTCAAAGCTAGACAAATATCTACCTGCAGATCCAACAAAAAGAGTGTTTCAAAACTGCTCTCTCAAAAAAAAGGTTCAACTCTGTTAGCTGAGTAGATACATCATGAAAAAGTTTCTGACATTGCTTCTATCTAGCTTTTATTGGAAGATATTTCCTTTTTCACCGTAGTCCTGAGATCTCTCCAAATGTCCACTTCCAGATACTACAAAAAGAGTGTTTCAAACCTGCTCTATGAAAGGGACTGTTCAACACTGTGACTTCAGTTGAAACATCCCAATGAAGCTTCTGAGAATGCTTATGTCTAGAGTTTATATGAAGACAATCCCGTTTCCAACGAAATCCTGAAAGCTATCCAAATATCCTCTTGCAGATATTACAAAAAGAGTGTTTCAAAACTGCTCTATCAAAAGAAAGCTTCAACACTGTTAGTTGAGGGCGCCCATCACAAATAAGTTTCGGAGAATGCTTAGCTGTCTGCTTTTTATATGTAATCCCGTTTCCAACGAAATCCTCAAAGCTATCCAAATATCCTCTTGCAGATATTACAAAAAGAGTGTTTCAAAACTGCTCTATCAAAAGAAAGGTTCAACACTGTTAGTTGAGGGCGCACATCACAAATAAGTTTCTGAGAATGCTTCTGTCTAGTTTTCAGGGGAAGATATTTCCTTTTTCACCTCAGGCCTGAAAGCGCTCCAAATGTCCACATCCAGATACTACAAAAAGAGTGTTTCAAACCTGCTCTATGAAAGGGAATGTTCAACTCTGTGACTTCAATTGAAACATCCCAATGAAGCTTCTGAGAATGCTTCTGTCTAGAGTTTATATGAAGACAATCCCGTTTCCAACGAAATCCTCAAAGCTATCCAAATATCCTCTTGCAGATTTTACAAAAAGAGGGTTTCAAAACTGCTCTATCAAAAGAAAGGTTCAACACTGTTAGTTGAGGGCGCACATCACAAATAAGTTTCTGAGAATGCTTCTGTCTAGTTTTCAGGGGAAGATATTTCCTTTTTCACCATAAGCCTGAAAGCGCTCCAAATGTCCACATCCAGATACTACAAAAAGACTGTTTCAAACCTGCTCTATGAAAGGGAATGTTCAACTCTGTGACTTGAATGCAAACATCACAAAGAAGTTTCTGGGAATGCTGCTGTCTGCTTTTTATATGTAATCCCGTTTCCAACGAAATCCTCAAAGCTAGACAATATCTACTTGCAGATTCCACAAAAAGAGTGTTTCAAAACTGCTCTATCAAAAGAATGCTTCAACACTGTTAGTTGAGGGCGCACATCACAAATAAGTTTCTGAGAATGCTTCTGTCTAGTTTTCAGGGGAAGATATTTCCTTTTAAACCTTAGGCCTGAAAGCGCTCCAAATGTCCACATCCAGATACTACAAAAAGAGTGTTTCAAACGTGCTCTATGAAAGGGACTGTTCAACACTGTGACTTCAATTGAAACATGCCAATGAAGCTTCTGAGAATGCTTCTGTCTAGATTCTATATGAAGACAATCCCGTTTCCAACGAAATCCTCAAAGCTATCCAAATATCCTCTTGCAGATATTACAAAAAGAGTGTTTCAAAACTGCTCTTTCAAAAGAAAGGTTCAACACTGTTAGTTGAGGGCGCACATCACAAATAAGTTTCTGAGAATGCTTCTGTCTAGTTTTCAGGGGAAGATATTTCCTTTTTCACCATAGGCCTGAAAGCGCTCCAAATGTCCACATCCATATACTACAAAAAGACTGTTTCAAACCTGCTCTATGAAAGGGAATGTTCAACTCTGTGACTTGAATGCAAACATCACAAAGAAGTTTCTGGGAATGCTGCTGTCTGCTTTTTATATGTAATCCCGTTTCCAACGAAATCCTGAAAGCTAGAAAAATATCCACCTGCAGATTCCACAAAAAGAGTGTTTCAAAACTGCTCTCTCAAAAAAAATGTTCAACTCTGTTAGCTGAGTAGATACATCATGAAAAAGTTTCTGATATTGCTTCTATCCAGCTTTTATTGGAAGATATTTCCTTTTTCACCATAGTCCTGAGAACGCTCCAAATGTCCACTTCCAGATGCTACAAAAAGAGTGTTTCAAACCTGCTCTATGAAAGGGACTGTTCAACACTGTGACTTCAATTGAAACATCCCAATGAAGCTTCTGAGAATGCTTCTGTCTAGATTTTATATGAAGACAATCCCGTTTCCAACGAAATCCTCAAAGCTATCCAAATATCCTCTTGCAGATTTTACAAAAAGAGTTTTTCAAAACTGCTGTATCGAAAGAAAGCTTCAACACTGTTAGTTGAGGGCGCACATCACAAATAAGATTCTGAGAATGCTTCTGTCTAGTTTTCAGGGGAAGATATTTCCTTTTTCACCATAGGCTTGAAAGCACTCCAAATGTCCACATCCAGATACTACAAAAAGAGTGTTTCAAACCTGCTCTATGAAAGGGAATGTTCAACTCTGTGACTTGAATGCAAACATCACAAAGAAGTTTCTGGGAATGCTGCTGTCTGCTTTTTATATGTAATCCCGTTTCCAACGAAATCCTCAAAGCTAGACAAATATCCACTTGCAGATTCCACAAAAAGAGTGTTTCAAAACTGCTCTCTCAAAAGAAAGGTTCACCTCTGTTAGCTGAGTAGATACGTCATGAAAAAGTTTCTGACATTGGTTCTATGTAGCTTTTATTGGAAGATATTTCCTTTTTCACCATAGTCCTGAGAGAGCCCCAAATGTCCACTTCCAGATACTACAAAAAGAGTGTTTCAAACCTGTTCTATGAAAGGAACTGTTCAACACTGTGACTTCAATTGAAACATCCCAATGAAGCTTCTGAGAATGCTTATGTCTAGAGTTTATATGAAGACAATCCCGTTTCCAACGAAATCCTGAAAGCTATCCAAATATCCTCTTGCAGATATTACAAAAAGAGTGTTTCAAAACTGCTCTATCAAAAGAAAGCTTCAACACTGTTAGTTGAGGGCGCCCATCACAAATAAGTTTCGGAGAATGCTTAGCTGTCTGCTTTTTATATGTAATCCCGTTAACAGCGAAATCCTCAAAGCTAGACAAATATCCACTTGCAGATTCCACAAAAAGAGTGTTTCAAAACTGCTCTATCAAAAGAATGCTTCAACACTGTTAGTTGAGGGCGCACATCACAAATAAGTTTCTGAGAATGCTTCTGTCTAGTTTTCAGGGGAAGATATTTCCTTTCAAACCATAGGCCTGAAAGCGCTCCAAATGTCCACATCCAGATACTACAAAAAGAGTGTTTCAAACCTGCTCTATGAAAGGGACTGTTCAATACTGTGACTTCAATTGAAACATCCCAATGAAGCTTCTGAGAATGCTTCTGTCTAGAGTTTATATGAAGACAATCCCGTTTCCAACGAAATCCTCAAAGCTATCCAAATATCCTCTTGCAGATTTTACAAAAAAGTGTTTCAAAACTGCTCTATCAAAAGAAAGCTTCAACACTGTTAGTTGAGGGCGCACATCACAAATAAGATTCTGAGAATGCTTCTGTCTAGTTTTCAGGGGAAGATATTTCCTTTTTCACCTTAGGCCTGAAAGCGCTGCAAATGTCCACATCCAGATACTACAAAAAGAGTGTTTCAAACCTGCTCTATGAAAGGGAATGTTCAACTCTGTGACTTGAATGCAAACATCACAAAGAAGTTTCTGGGAATGCTGCTGTCTGCTTTTTACATGTAATCCCGTTTCCAACGAAATCCTCAAAGCTAGGCAAATATCCACTTGCAGATTCCACAAAAAGAGTGTTTCAAAACTGCTCTCTCAAAGGAAGGTTCAACTCTGTTAGCTGAGTAGATACATCATGAAAAAGTTTCTGACATTGCTTCTATCTAGCTTTTATTGGAAGATATTTCCTTTTTCACCGCAGTCCTGAGAGCGTTCCAAATGTCCACTTCCAGATACTACAAAAAGAGTGTTTCAAACCTGCTCTATGAAAGGGACTGTTCAACACTGTGACTTCAATTGAAACATCCCAATGAAGCTTCTGAGAATGCTTCTGTCTAGAGTTTATATGAAGACAATCCCGTTTCCAACGAAATCCTCAAAGCTATCCAAATATCCTCTTGCAGATATTACAAAAAGAGTGTTTCAAAACTGCTCTATCAAAAGAAAGGTTCAACACTGTTAGTTGAGGGCGCACATCACAAATAAGTTTACTGAGAATGCTGCTGTCTGCTTTTTATATGTAATCCCGTTTCCAACGAAATCCTCAAAGCTAGACAAATATCCACTTGCAGATTCCACAAAAAGAGTGTTTCAAAACTGCTCTATCAAAAGAAAGCTTCAACACTGTTAGTTGAGGGCGCACATCACAAATAAGATTCTGAGAATGCTTCTGTCTAGTTTTCAGGGGAAGATATTTCCTTTTTCACCATAGGCCTGAAAGCGCTCCAAATGTCCACATCCAGATACTACAAAAAGAGTGTTTCAAACCTGCTCTATGAAAGGGACTGTTCAACACTGTGACTTCAATTGAAACATCCCAATGAAGCTTCTGAGAATGCTTCTGTCTAGAGTTTATATGAAGACAATCCCGTTTCCAAAGAAATCCTCAAAGCTATCCAAATATCCTCTAGCAGATTTTACAAAAAGAGTGTTTCAGAACTGCTCTATCAAAAGAAAGCTTCAACACTGTTAGTTGAGGGCGCACATCACAAATAAATTTCTGAGAATGCTTCTGTCTAGTTTTCAGGGGAAGATATTTCGTTTTTCACCATAGGCCTGAAAGCGCTCCAAATATCCACATCCAGATACTACAAAAAGAGTGTTTCAAACCTGCTCTATGAAAGGGAATGTTCAACTCTGTGACTTGAATGCAAACATCACAAAGAAGTTTCTGGGAATGCTGCTGTCTGCTTTTTATATGTAATCCCGTTTCCAACGAAATCCTCAAAGCTAGACAAATATCCACTTGCAGATTCCACAAAAAGAGTGTTTCAAAACTGCTCTCTCAAAAGAAAGGTTCAACTCTGTTAGCTGAGTAGGTACATCATGAAAAAGTTTCTGACATTGCTTCTATCTAGCTTTTATTGGAAGATATTTCCTTTATCACCGTATTCCTGAGATCTCTCCAAATGTCCACTTCCAGATACTACAAAAAGAGTGTTTCAAACCTGCTCTATGAAAGGGACTGTTCAACACTGTGACTTCAATTGAAACATCCCAATGAAGCTTCTGAGAATGCTTCTGTCTAGAGTTTATATGAAGACAATCCCGTTTCCAACGAAATCCTCAAAGCTATCCAAATATCCTCTTGCAGATATTACAAAAAGAGTGTTTCAAAACTGCTCTATCAAAAGAAAGGTTCAACAGTGTTAGTTGAGGGCGCACATCACAAATAAGTTTCTGAGAATGCTTCTGTCTAGTTTTCAGGGGAAGATATTTCCTTTTTCACCATAGGCCTGAAAGCGCTCCAAATGTCCACATCCAGATACTACAAAAAGAGTGTTTCAAACCTGCTCTATGAAAGGGAATGTTCAACTCTGTGACTTGAATGCAAACATCACAAAGAAGTTTCTGGGAATGCTGCTGTCTGCTTTTTATATGTAATCCCGTTTCCAACGAAATCCTCAAAGCTAGACAAATATCCACTTGCAGATTCCACAAAAAGAGTTTTTCAAAACTGCTCTCTCAAAAGAAAGGTTCAACTCTGTTAGCTGAGTAGATACATCATGAAAAAGTTTCTGACATTGCTTCTATCTAGCTTTTATTGGAAGATATTTCCTTTTTCACCGTAGTCCTGAGAACGCTCCAAATGTCCACTTCCAGATGCTACAAAAAGAGTGTTTCAAACCTGCTCTATGAAAGGGACTGTTCAACACTGTGACTTCAATTGAAACATCCCAATGAAGCTTATCAGAATGCTTCTGTCTAGAGTTTATATGAAGACAATCCTGTTTCCAACGAAATCCTCAAAGCTATCCAAATATCCTCTTGCAGATATTACAAAAAGAGTGTTTCAAAACTGCTCTATCAAAAGAAAGGTTCAACACCGTTAGTTGAGGGCGCACATCACAAATAAGTTTCTGAGAATGCTGCTGTCTGCTTTTTATATGTAATCCCGTTTCCATCGAAATCCTCAAAGCTAGACAAATATCCACTTGCAGATTCCACAAAAAGAGTGTTTCAAAACTGCTCTATCAAAAGAATGCTTCAACACTGTTAGTTGAGGGCGCACATCAGAAATAAGTTTCTGAGAATGCTTCTGTCTAGTTTTCAGGGGAAGATATTTCCTTTTAAACCATAGGCCTGAAAGCGCTCCAAATGTCCACATCCAGATACTACAAAAAGAGTGTTTCAAACCTGCTCTATGAAAGGGAATGTTCAACACTGTGACTTCAATTGAAACATCCCAATGAAGCTTCTGAGAATGCTTCTGTCTAGAGTTTATATGAAGACAATCCCGTTTCCAACGAAATCCTGAAAGCTATCCAAATATCCTCTTGCAGATTTTACAAAAAGAGTGTTTCAAAACTGCTCTATCAAAAGAAAGGTTCAACACTGTTAGTTGAGGGCGCACATCACAAATAAGTTTCTGAGAATGCTTCTGTCTAGTTTTCAGGGGAAGATATTTCCTTTTTCACCTTAGGCCTGAAAGCGCTGCAAATGTCCACATACAGATACTACAAAAAGAGTGTTTCAAACCTGGTCTACGAAAGGGAATGTTCAACTCTGTGACTTGAATGCAAACATCACAAAGAAGTTTCTGGGAATGCTGCTGTCTGCTTTTTATATGTAATCCCGTTTCCAACGAAATCCTCAAAGCTAGACAAATATCCACTTGCAGATTCCACAAAAAGAGGGTTTCAAAACTGCTCTCTCAAAAGAAAGGTTCAACTCTGTTAGCTGAGTAGATACATCATGAAAAAGTTTCTGACATTGCTTCTATCTAGCTTTTATTGGAAGATATTTCCTTTTTCACCGTACTCCTGAGAGCGCTCCAAAACTCCACTTCCAGATATTACAAAAAGAGTGTTTCAAACCTGCTCTACGATAGGGACTGTTCAACACTGTGACTTCAATTGAAACATCCCAATGAAGCTTCTGAGAATGCTTCTGTCTAGATTCTATATGAAGACAATCCCGTTTCCAACGAAATCCTCAAAGCTATCCAAATATCCTCTTGCAGATTTTACAAAAAGAGTGTTTCAAAACTGCTCTATCAAAAGAAAAGTTCCACACTGTTAGTTGAGGGCGCACATCACAAATAAGTTTGCTGAGAATGCTGCTGTCTGCTTTTTATATGTAATCCCGTTTCCAACGAAATCCTCAAAGCTAGACAAATATCCACTTGCAGATTCCACAAAAAGAGTGTTTCAAAACTGCTCTATCAAAAGAATGCTTCAACACTGTTAGTTGAAGGCGCACATCACAAATAAGTTTCTGAGAATGCTTCTGTCTAGTTTTCAGGGGAAGATATTTCCTTTTAAACCATAGGCCTGAAAGCGCTCCAAATGTCCACATCCAGATACTACAAAAAGAGTGTTTCAAACCTGCTCTATGAAAGGGAATGTTCAACACTGTGACTTCAATTGAAACATCCCAATGAAGCTTCTGAGAATGCTTCTGTCTAGATTTTATATGAAGACAATCCCGTTTCCAAAGAAATCCTCAAAGCTATCCAAATATCCTCTTGCAGATTTTACAAAAAGAGTGTCTCAAAACTACTCTATCAATAGAAAGGTTTAACACTGTTAGTTGAGGGCGCACATCACAAATATGTTTCTGAGAATGCTTCTGTCTAGTTTTCAGGGGAAGATACTTCCTTTTTCACCATAGGCCTGAAAGCGCTCCAAATGTCCACATACAGATACTACAAAAAGAGTGTTTCAAACCTGCTCTATGAAAGGGAATGTTCAACTTTGTGACTTTAATGCAAACATCACAAAGAAGTTTCTGGGAATGCTGCTGTCTGCTTTTTATATGTAATCCCGTTTCCAACGAAATCCTCAAAGCTAGACAAATATCCACTTGCAGATTCCACAAAAAGAGTGTTTCAAAACTGCTCTCTCAAAAGAAAGGTTCAACTCTGTTAGCTGAGTAGATACATCATGAAAAAGTTTCTGACATTGCTTCTATCTAGCTTTTATTGGAAGATATTTCCTTTATCACTGTATTCCTGAGATCTCTCCAAATGTCCACTTCCAGCTACTACAAAAAGAGTGTTTCAAACCTGCTCTATGAAAGGGACTTTTCAACACTGTGACTTCAATTGAAACATCCCAATGAAGCTTCTGAGAATGCTTCTGTCTAGATTCTATATGAAGACAATCCCGTTTCCAACGAAATCCTCAAAGCTATCCAAATATCCTCTTGCAGATTTTACAAAAAGAGTGTTTCAAAACTGCTCTATCAAAAGAAAAGTTCCACACTGTTAGTTGAGGGCGCACATCACAAATAAGTTTGCTGAGAATGCTGCTGTCTGCTTTTTATATGTAATCCCGTTTCCAACGAAATCCTCAAAGCTAGACAAATATCCACTTGCAGATTCCACAAAAAGAGTGTTTCAAAACTGCTCTATCAAAAGAAAGCTTCAACACTGTTAGTTGAGGGCGCACATCACAAATAAGTTTCTGAGAATGCTTCTGTCTAGTTTTCAGGGGAAGATATTTCCTTTTAAACCATAGGCCTGAAAGCGCTCCAAATGTCCACATCCAGATACTACAAAAAGAGTGTTTCAAACCTGCTCTATGAAAGGGACTGTTCAACACTGTGACTTCAATTCAAACATCCCAATGACGCTTCTGAGAATGCTTCTGTCTAGAGTTTATATGAAGACAATCCCGTTTCCAACGAAATCCTCAAAGCTATCCAAATATCCTCTTGCAGATTTTACAAAAAGAGTGTTTCAAAACTGCTCTATCAAAAGAAAGCTTCAACACTGTTAGTTGAGGGCGCACATCACAAATAAGATTCTGAGAATTCTTCTGTCTAGTTTTCAGGGGAAGATATTTCCTTTTTCACCATAGGCCTGAAAGCGCTCCAAATGTCCACATCGAGATACTACAAAAAGAGTGTTTCAAACCTGCTCTATGAAAGGGAATGTTCAACTCTGTGACTTGAATGCAAACATCACAAAGAAGTTTCTGGGAATGCTGCTGTCTGCTTTTTATATGTAATCCCGTTTCCAACGAAATCCTCAAAGCTAGACAAATATCCACTTGCAGATTCCACAAAAAGAGTGTTTCAAAACTGCTCCCTCAAAAGAAAGGTTCAACTCTGTTAGCTGAGTAGATACATCATGAAAAAGTTTCTGACATTGCTTCTATCTAGCTTTTATTGGAAGATATTACCTTTATCACCGTATTCCTGAGATCTCTACAAATGTCCACTTCCAGATACTACAAAAAGAGTGTTTCAAACCTGCTCTATGAAAGGGACTGTTCAACACTGTGACTTCAATTGAAACATCCCAATGAAGCTTCTGAGAATGCTTCTGTCTAGAGTTTATATGAAGACAATCCCGTTTCCAACGAAATCCTCAAAGCTATCCAAATATCCTCTTGCAGATTTTACGAAAAGAGTGTTTCAAAACTGCTCTATCAAAAGAAAGCTTCAACACTGTTAGTTGAGGGCGCACATCACAAATAAGATTCTGAGAATGCTTCTGTCTAGTTTTCAGGGGAAGATATTTCCTTTTTCACCATAGGCCTGAAAGCGCTCCAAATGTCCACATCCAGATACTACAAAAAGACTGTTTCAAACCTGCTCTATGAAAGGGAATGTTCAACTCTGTGACTTGAATGCAAACATCACAAAGAAGTTTCTGGGAATGCTGCTGTCTGCTTTTTATATGTAATCCCGTTTCCAACGAAATCCTCTAAGCTAGACAAACATCCACTTGCAGATTCCAAAAAAAGAGTGTTTCAAAACTGCTCTCTCAAAAAAAAGGTTCAACACTGTTAGCTGCGTAGATACATCATGAAAAAGTTTCTGACATTGCTTCTATCTAGCTTTTATTGGAAGATATTTCCTTTTTCACCGCAGTCCTGAGAGCGCTCCAAATGTCCACTTCCAGATACTACAAAAAGAGTGTTTCAAACCTGCTCTATGAAAGGGACTGTTCAACACTGTGACTTTAATTGAAACATCCCAATGAAGCTTCTGAGAATGCTTCTGTCTAGAGTTTATATGAAGACAATCCCGTTTCCACCGAAATCCTCAAAGCTATCCAAATATCCTCTTGCAGATATTACAAAAAGAGTGTTTCAAAACTGCTCTATCAAAAGAAAGCTTCAACACTGTTAGTTGAGGGCGCACATCACAAATAAGATTCTGAGAATGCTTCTGTCTAGTTTTCAGGAGAAGATATTTCCTTTTTCACCATAGGCCTGAAAGCGCTCCAAATGTCCACATCCAGATACTATAAAAAGAGTGTTTCAAACCTGCTCTCTGAAAGGGAATGTTCAACTCTGTGACTTGAATGCAAACATCACAAACAAGATTCTGGGAATGCTGCTGTCTGCTTTTTATATGTAATCCCGTTTCCAACGAAATCCTCAAAGCTAGACAAATATCCACCTGCAGATTCCACAAAAAGAGTGTTTCAAAACTACTCTCTCAAAAGAAAGGTTCAACACTGTTAGCTGAGTAGATACATCATGAAAAAGTTTCTGACATTGCTTCTATCTAGCTTTTATTGGAAGATATTTCCTTTATCACCGTATTCCTGAGATCTCTCCAAATGTCCACTTCCAGATACTACAAAAAGAGTGTTTCAAACCTGCTCTATGAAAGGGACTGTTCAACACTGTGACTTCAATTGAAACATCCCAATGAAGCTTCTGAGAATGCTGCTGTCTGCTTTGTATAATTAATCCCGTTTCCAACGAAATCCTCAAAGCTATCCAAATATCCTCTTGCAGATATTACAAAAAGAGTGTTTCAAAACTGCTCTATCAAAAGAAAGCTTCAACACTGTTAGTTGAGGGCGCACATCACAAATAAGTTTCTGAGAATGCTGCTGTCTGCTTTTAATATGTAATCCCGTTTCCAACGAAATCCTCAAAGCTAGACAAATATCCACTTGCAGATTCCACAAAAAGAGTGTTTCAAAACTGCTCTATCAAAAGAAAGCTTCAACACTGTTAGTTGAGGGCGCACATCACAAATAAGTTTCTGAGAATGCTTCTGTCTAGTTTTCAGGGGAAGATATTTCCTTTTTCACCTTAGGCCTGAAGGCGCTGTAAATGTCCACATCCAGATACTACAAAAAGAGTGTTTCAAACCTGCTCTATGAAAGGGAATGTTCAACTCTGTGACTTAAATGCAAACATCACAAAGAAGTTTCTGGGAATGCTGCTGTCTGCTTTTTATATGTAATCCCGTTTCCAACAAAATCCTCAAAGCTAGACAAATATCCACTTGCAGATTCCACAAAAAGAGTGTTTCAAAACTGCTCTCTCAAAGGAAGGTTCAACTCTGTTAGCTGAGTAGATACATCATGAAAAAGTTTCTGACATTGCTTCTGTCTAGTTTTCAGGGGAAGATATTTCCTTTTTCACCATAGGCCTGAAAGCGCTCCAAATGTCCACATCCAGATACTACAAAAAGAGTGTTTCAAACCTGCTCTATGAAAGGGAATGTTCAATTCTGTGACTTGAATGCAAACATCACAAAGAAGTTTCTGGGAATGCTTCTGTCTGCTTTTTATATGTAATCCCGTTTCCAACGAAATCCTCAAAGCTAGACAAATATCCACTTGCAGATTCCACAAAAAGAGTGTTTCAAAACGGCTCTCTCAAAAGAAATGTTCAACTCTGTTAGCTGAGTAGATACATCATGAAAAAGTTTCTGAGATTGCTTCTATCTAGCTTTTATTGCAAGATATTTCCTTTTTCACTGTAGTCCTGAGAACGCTCCAAATGTCCACTTCCAGATACTACAAAAAGAGTGTTTCAAACCTGCTCTATGAAAGGGACTGATCAACACTGTGACTTCTATTGAAACATCCCAATGAAGCTTCTGAGAATGCTTTTGTCTACATTTAATATGAAGACAATCCCGTTTCCAAAGAAATCCTCAAATCTATCCAAATATCCTCTTGCAGATTTTACAAAAAGAGTGTTTCAAAACTGCTCTATCAAAAGAAAGGTTCAACACTGTTAGCTGAGGGCGCACATCACAAATAAGTTTCTGAGAATGCTTCTGTCTAGTTTTCAGGGGAAGATATTTCCTTTTTCACCATAGGCTTGAAAGCGCTCCAAATGTCCACATCCAGATACTACAAAAAGAGTTTTTCAAACCTGCTCTATGAAAGGGAATGTTCAACTCTGTGACTTGAATGCAAACATCACAAAGAAGTTTCTGGGAATGCTGCTGTCTGCTTTTTATATGTAATCCCGTTTCCAACGAAATCCTCAAAGCTAGACAAATATCCACTTGCAGATTCCACAAAAAGAGTGTTTCAAAACTGCTCTCTCAAAGGAAAGGTTCAACTCTGTTAGCTGAGTAGATACATCATGAAAAAGTTTCTGACATTGCTTCTATCTACCTTTTATTGGAAGATATTTCCTTTTTCACCGTAGTCCTGAGAGCGCTCCAAATGTCCACTTCCAGATGCTACAAAAAGAGTGTTTCAAACCTGCTCTATGAAAGGGACTGTTCAACACTGTGACTTCAATTGAAACATCCCAATGAAGCTTATCAGAATGCTTCTGTCTAGATTCTATATGAAGACAATCCCGTTTCCAACGAAATCCTCAAAGCTATCCAAATATCCTCTTGCAGATTTTACAAAAAGAGTGTTTCAAAACTGCTCTATCAAAAGAAAAGTTCCACACTGTTAGTTGAGGGCGCACATCACAAATAAGTTTGCTGAGAATGCTGCTGTCTGCTTTTTATATGTAATCCCGTTTCCAACGAAATCCTCAAAGCTAGACAAATATCCACTTGCAGATTCCACAAAAAGAGTGTTTCAAAACTGCTCTATCAAAAGAAACCTTCAACACTGTTAGTTGAGGGCGCACATCACAAATAAGTTTCTGAGAATGCTTCTGTCTAGTTTTCAGGGGAAGATATTTCCTTTTAAACTATAGGCCTGCAAAAGCTCCAAATGTCCACATCCAGATACTACAAAAAGAGTGTTTCAAACCTGCTCTATGAAAGGGACTGTTCAACACTGTGACTTCAATTGAAACATCCCAATGAAGCTTCTGAGAATTCTTCTGTCTAGAGTTTATATGAAGACAATCCCGTTTCCAACGAAATCCTCAAAGCTATCCAAATATCCTCTTGCAGATTTTACAAAAAGAGTGTTTCAAAACTGCTCTATCAAAAGAAAGGTTGAACACTGTTAATTGAGGGCGCACATCACAAATAAGATTCTGAGTATGCTTCTCTCTAGTTTTCAGGGGAAGATATTTCCTTTTTCACCGTAGGCCTGAAAGCGCTCCAAATGTCCACATCCAGATACTACAAAAAAAGTGTTTCAAACCTGCTCTATGAAAGGGAATGTTCAACTCTGTGACATGAATGCAAACATCACAAAGAAGTTACTGGGAATGCTGCTGTCTGCTTTTTATATGTAATCTCGTTTCCAACGAAATCCTCAAAACTAGACAAATATCCACTTGCAGATTCCACAAAAAGAGTGTTTCAAAACTGCTCTCTCAAAGGAAGGTTCAACTCTGTTAGCTGAGTAGATACATCATGAAAAAGTTTCTGACATTGCTTCTATCTAGCTTTTATTGGAAGATATTTCCTTTTTCACCATAGTCCTGAGAACGCTCCAAATGTCCACTTCCAGATATTACAAAAAGAGTGTTTCAAACCTGCTCTACGAAAGGGACTGTTCAACACTGTGACTTCAATTGAAACATCCCAATGAAGCTTCTGAGAATGCTTCTGTCTAGAGTTTATATGAAGACAATCCCGTTTCCAACGAAATCCTCAAAGCTATCCAAATATCCTCTTGCAGATATTACAAAAAGAGTGTTTCAAAACTGCTCTATCAAAAGAAAGGTTCAACACTGTTAGTTGAGGGCGCACATCACAAATAAGTTTACTGAGAATGCTGCTGTCTGCTTTATATATGTAATCCCGTTTCCAACGAAATCCTCAAAGCTAGACAAATATCCACTTGCAGATTCCACAAAAAGAGTGTTTCAAAACTGCTCTATCAAAAGAAAGCTTCAACACTGTTAGTTGAAGGCGAACATCACAAATAAGTTTCTGAGAATGCTTCTGTCTAGTTTTCAGGGGAAGATATTTCCTTTTAAACCATAGGCCTGAAAGCGCTCCAAATGTCCACATCCAGATACTACAAAAAGAGTGTTTGAAACCTGCTCTATGAAAGGGACTGTTCAACACTGTAACTTCAATTGAAACATCCCAATGAAGCTTCTGAGAATGCTTCTGTCTAGAGTTTATATGAAGAAAATCCCGTTTCCAATGAAATCCTCAAAGCTATCCAAATATCCTCTTGCAGATTTTACAAAAAGAGTGTTTCAAAACTGCTTTATCAAAAGAAAGCTTCAACACTGTTAGTTGAGGGCGCACATCACAAATAAGATTCTGAGAATGCTTCTGTCTAGTTTTCAGGGGAAGATATTTCCTTTTTCACCATAGGCCTGAAAGCGCTCCAAATGTCCACATCCAGATACTACAAAAAGAGTGTTTCAAACCTGCTCTATGAAAGGGAATGTTCAACTCTGTGACTTGAATGCAAACATCACAAGGAAGTTACTGGGAATGCTGCTGTCTGCTTTTTATATGTAATCCCGTTTCCAACGAAATCCTCAAAGCTAGACAAATATCCACTTGCAGATTCCACAAAAAGAGTGTTTCAAAACTGCTCTCTCAAAGGAAAGGTTCAACTCTGTTAGCTGAGTAGATACATCATGAAAAAGTTTCTGACATTGCTTCTATGTAGCTTTTATTGGAAGATATTTGCTTTTTCGCCATAGTCCTGAGTGCGCTCAAAATGTCCACTTCCAGATACTACAAAAAGAGTGTTTCAAACCTGCTCTATGAAAGGGACTGTTCAACACTGTGACTTCAATTGAAACATCCCAATGAAGCTTCTGAGAATGCTTCTGTCTAGAGTTTATATGAAGACAATCCCGTTTCCAACGAAATCCTCAAAGCTATCCAAATATCCTCTTGCAGATATTACAAAAAGAGTGTTTCAAAACTGCTCTATCAAAAGAAAGCTTCAACACTGTTAGTTGAGGGCGCACATCACAAATAAGTTTCTGAGAATGCTTCTGTCTAGTTTTCAGGGGAACATATTTCCTTTTTCACCATAGGCCTGAAAGCGCTCCAAATGTCCACATCCAGATACTACAAAAAGAGTGTTTCAAACCTGCTCTATGAAAGGGAATGTTCAACTCTGTGACTTGAATGCAAACATCACAAAGAAGTTACTGGGAATGCTGCTGTATGCTTTTTATATGTAATCCCGTTTCCAACGAAATCCTCAAAGCTAGACAAATATCCACTTGCAGATTCAACAAAAAGAGTGTTTCAAAACTGCTCTCTCAAAGGAAAGGTTCAACTCTGTTAGCTGAGTAGATACATCATGAAAAAGTTTCTGACATTGCTTCTATCTAGCTTTTATTGGAAGATATTTCCTTTATCACCGTATTCCTGAGATCTCTCCAAATGTCCACTTCCAGATACTACAAAAAGAGTGTTTCAAACCTGCTCTATGAAAGGGACTGTTCAACACTGTGACTTCAATTGAAACATCCCAATGAAGCTTCTGAGAATGCTTCTGTCTAGAGTTTATATGAAGACAATCCCGTTTCCAACGAAATCCTCAAAGCTATCCAAATATCCTCTTGCAGATATTACAAAAAGAGTGTTTCAAAACTGCTCTATCAAAAGAAGGGTTCAACACTGTTAGTTGAGGGCGCACATCACAAATAAGTTTCTGAGAATGCTGCAGTCTGCTTTTTATATGTAATCCCGTTTCCAACGAAATCCTCAAAGCTACACAAATATCCACTTGCAGATTCCACAAAAAGAGTGTTTCAAAACTGCTCTATCAAAAGAATGCTTCAACACTGTTAGTTGAGGGCGCACATCACAAATAAGTTTCTGAGAATGCTTCTGTCTAGTTTTCAGGGGAAGATATTTCCTTTTTCACCTTATGCCTGAAAGCGCTGCAAATGTCCACATCCAGATACTACAAAAAGAGTGTTTCAAACCTGCTCTATCAAAGGGACTGTTCAACACTGTGACTTCAATTGAAACATCCCAATGAAGCTTCTGAGAATGCTACTGTCTAGAGTTTATATGAAGACAATCCCGTTTCCAACGAAATCCTCAAAGCTATCCAAATATCCTCTTGCAGATTTTACAAAAAGAGTGTTTCAAAACTACTCTATCAAAAGAAAGGTTTAACACTGTTAGTTGAGGGCTCACATCACAAATAAGTTTCTGAGAATGCTTCTGTCTAGTTTTCAGGGGAAGATATTTCCTTTTTCTCCATAGGCCTGAAAGCGCTCCAAATGTCCACATCCAGATACTATAAAAAGAGTGTTTCAAACCTGCTCTCTGAAAGGGAATGTTCAACTCTGTGACTTGAATGCAAACATCACAAACAAGATTCTGGGAATGCTGCTGTCTGCTTTTTATATGTAATCCCGTTTCCAACGAAATCCTCAAAGCTAGACAAATATCCACTTGCAGATTCCACAAAAAGAGTGTTTCAAAACTGCTCTCTCAAAAGAAAGGTTCAACTCTGTTAGCTGAGTAGATACATCATGAAAAAGTTTCTGACAATGCTTCTATCTAGCTTTTATTGGAAGATATTTCCTTTTTCACCGTAGTCCTGAGATCTCTCCAAATGTCCACTTCCAGATACTACAAAAAGAGTGTTTCAAACCTGCTCTATGAAAGGGACTGTTCAACACTGTGACTTCAATTGAAACATCCCAATGAAGCTTCTGAGAATCCTTCTGTCTAGAGTTTATATGAAGACAATCCCGTTTCCAACGAAATCCTCAAAGCTATCCAAATATCCTCTTGCAGATATTACAAAAAGAGTGTTTCAAAACTGCTCTATCAAAAGAAAGGTTCAACACTGTTAGTTGAGGGCGCACATCACAAATAAGTTTACTGAGAATGCTGCTGTCTGCTTTTTATATGTAATCCCGTTTCCAACGAAATCCTCAAAGCTAGACAAATATCCACTTGCAGATTCCACAAAAAGAGTGTTTCAAAACTGCTCTATCAAAAGAAAGCTTCAACACTGTTAGTTGAGGGCGCACATCACAAATAAGTTTCTGAGAATGCTTCTGTCTAGTTTTCAGGGGAAGATATTTCCTTTTAAACCATAGGCCTGAAAGCGCTCCAAATGTCCACATCCAGATACTACAAAAAGAGTGTTTCAAACCTGCTCTATGAAAGGGAATGTTCAACACTGTGACTTCAATTGAAACATCCCAATGACGCTTCTGAGAATGCTTCTGTCTAGAGTTTATATGAAGACAATCCCGTTTCCAACGAAATCCTCAAAGCTATCCAAATATCCTCTTGCAGATTTTACAAAAAGAGTGTTTCAAAACTGCTCTATCAAAAGAAAGCTTCAACACTGTTAGTTGAGGGCGCACATCACAAATAAGATTCTGAGAATGCTTCTGTCTAGTTTTCAGGGGAAGATATTTCCTTTTTCACCATAGGCCTGAAAGCGCTCCAAATGTCCACATCCAGATACTTCAAAAAGAGTGTTTCAAACCTGCTCTATGAAAGGGAACGTTCAACTCCTGTGACTTGAATGCAAACATCAGAAAGAAGTTACTGGGAATGCTGCTGTCTGCTTTTTATATGTAATCCCGTTTCCAAAGAAATCCTCAAAGCTAGACAAATATCCACTTGCAGATTCCACAAAAAGAGTGTTTCAAAACTGCTCTCTCAAAGGAAGGTTCAACTCTGTTAGCTGAGTAGATACATCATGAAAAAGTTTCTGACATTGCTTCTATCTAGCTTTTATTGGAAGATATTTCCTTTTTCACCGCAGTCCTGAGAGCGTTCCAAATGTCCACTTCCAGATACTACAAAAAGAGTGTTTCAAACCTGGTCTATGAAAGGGACTGTTCAACACTGTGACTTCAATTGAAACATCCCAATGAAGCTTCTGAGAATGCTTCTGTCTAGATTCTATATGAAGACAATCCCGTTTCCAACGAAATCCTCAAAGCTATCCAAATATCCTCTTGCAGATTTTACAAAAAGAGTGTTTCAAAACTGCTCTATCAAAAGAAAAGTTCCACACTGTTAGTTGAGGGCGCACATCACAAATAAGTTTGCTGAGAATGCTGCTGTCTGCTTTTTATATGTAATCCCGTTTCCAACGAAATCCTCAAAGCTAGACAAATATCCTCTTGCAGATTCCACAAAAAGAGTGTTTCAAAACTGCTCTATCAAAAGAATGCTTCAACACTGTTAGTTGAAGGCGCACATCACAAATAAGTTTCTGAGAATGCTTCTGTCTAGTTTTCAGGGGAAGATATTTCCTTTTTCACCATAGGCCTGAAAGCGCTCCAAATGTCCACATCCGGATACTACAAAAAGAGTGTTTCAAACCTGCTCTATGAAAGGGACTGTTCAACACTGTGACTTCAATTGAAACATCCCAATGAAGCTTCTGAGAATACTTCTGTCTAGAGTTTTTATGAAGACAATTCCGTTTCCAATGAAATCCTCAAAGCTATCCAAATATCCTCTTGCAGATATTACAAAAAGAGTGTTTCAAACCTGCTCTATCAAAAGAAAGGTTCAACACTCTTAGTTGAGGGCGCACATCACAAATAAGTTTCTGAGAATGCTTCTGTCTAGTTCTCAGGGGAAGTATATTTCCTTTTTCACCATAGGCCTGAAAGCGCTCCAAATGTCCACATCCAGATACTACAAAAAGAGTGTTTCAAACCTGCTCTATGAAAGGGAATGTTCAACTCTGTGACTTGAATGCAAACATCACAAAGAAGATTCTGGGAATGCTGCTGTCTGCTTTTTATATGTAATCCCGTTTCCAACGAAATCCTCAAATCTAGACAAATATCCACCTGCAGATCCAACAAAAAGAGTGTTTCAAAGCGGCTCTCTCAAAAAAAAGGTTCAACTCTGTTAGCTGAGTAGATACATCATGAAAAAGTTTCTGACATTGCTTCTATCTAGCTTTTATTGGAAGATATTTCCTTTTTCACTGTCGTCCTGAGAACGCTCCAAATGTCCACTTCCAGATACTACAAAAAGAGTGTTTCAAACCTGCTCTATGAAAGGGACTGTTCAACACTGTTACTTCAATTGAAACATCCGAATGAAGCTTCTGAGAATGCTTCTGTCTAGATTCTATATGAAGACAATCCCGTTTCCAACGAAATCCTCAAAGCTATCCAAATATCCTCTTGCAGATTTTACAAAAAGAGTGTTTCAAAACTGCTCTATCAAAAGAAAAGTTCCACACTGTTAGTTGAGGGCGCACATCACAAATAAGTTTGCTGAGAATGCTGCTGTCTGCTTTTTATAATTAATCCCGTTTCCAACGAAATCCTCAAAGCTATCCAAATATCCTCTTGCAGATATTACAAAAAGAGTGTTTCAAAACTGCTCTATCAAAAGAAAGGTTCAACACTGTTAGTTGAGGGCGCACATCACAAATAAGTTTCTGAGAATGCTTCTGTCTAGTTTTCAGGGGAAGATATTTCCTTTTTCACCATAGGCCTGAAAGCGCTCGAAATGTCCACATCCAGATACTACAAAAAGAGTGTTTCAAACCTGCTCTATGAAAGGGACTGTTCAACACTGTGACTTCAATTGAAACATCCCCAATGAAGCTTCTGAGAATGCTTCTGTCTAGATTCTATATGAAGACAATCCCGTTTCCAACGAAATCCTCAAAGCTATCCAAATATCCTCTTGCGGATTTTACAAAAAGAGTGTATCAAAACTGCTCTATCAAAAGAAAGGTTCAACACTGTTAGTTGAGGGCGCACATGACAAATAAGTTTCTGAGAATGCTTCTGTCTAGTTTACAGGGGAAGATAATTCCTTTTTCACCATAGGCCTGAAAGCGCTCCAAATGTCCACATCCAGATACTACAAAAAGAGTGTTTCAAACCTGCTCTATGAAAGGGAATGTTCAAGTCTGTGACTTGAATGCAAATTTCACAAAGAGCTTTACTGGGAATGCTGCTGTCTGCTTTTTATATGTAATCCCGTTTCCAACGTAATCCTCAAAGCTAGACAAATATCCACTTGCAGATTCCACAAAAAGAGTGTTTCAAAACTGCTCTCTCAAAAGAAAGGTTAAACTCTGTTAGCTGAGTAGATACATCATGAAAAAGTTTCTGACATTGCTTCTATGTAGCTTTTATTGGAAGATATTTCCTTTTTCACCGTAGTCCTGAGAGCGCTCCAAATGTCCACTTCCAGATACTACAAAAAGAGTGTTTCAAACCTGTTCTATGAAAGGAACTGTTCAACACTGTGACTTCAATTGAAACATCCCAATGAAGCTTCTGAGAATGCTGCTGTCTGCTTTGTATAATTAATCCCGTTTCCAACGAAATCCTCAAAGCTATCCAAATATCCTCTTGCAGATATTACAAAAAGAGTGTTTCAAAACTGCTCTATCAAAAGAAAGCTTCAACACTGTTAGTTGAGGGCGCACATCACAAATAAGTTTCTGAGAATGCTGCTGTCTGCTTTTTATATGTAATCCCGTTTCCAACGAAATCCTCAAAGCTATCCAAATATCCTCTTGCAGATATTACAAAAAGAGTGTTTCAAAACTGCTCTATCAAAAGAAAGGTTCAACACTGTTAGTTGAGGGCGCACATCACAAATAAGTTTCTGAGA
This sequence comes from Homo sapiens, assembly GCF_000001405.40. Taxonomy (NCBI): domain Eukaryota; kingdom Metazoa; phylum Chordata; class Mammalia; order Primates; family Hominidae; genus Homo; species Homo sapiens. Next base: position 93,331,020 of record NC_000002.12, on the reverse strand, counting down.
ATGCTTCTGTCTAGTTTTCAGGGGAAGATATTTCCTTTTTCACCATAGGCCTGAAAGCGCTCCAAATGTCCACATCCAGATACTACAAAAAGAGTGTTTCAAACCTGCTCTATGAAAGGGACTGTTCAACACTGTGACTTCAATTGAAACATCCCAATGAAGCTTCTGAGAATGCTTCTGTCTAGAGTTTATATGAAGACAATCCCGTTTCCAACGAAATCCTCAAAGCTATCCAAATATCCTCTAGCAGATTTTACAAAAAGAGTGTTTCAAAACTGCTCTATCAAAAGAAAGCTTCAATACTGTTAGTTGAGGGCGCACATCACAAATAAAATTCTGAGAATGCTTCTGTCTAGTTTTCAGGGGAAGATATTTCCTTTTTCACCATAAGCCTGAAAGCGCTGCAAATGTCCACATCCAGATACTACAAAAAGAGTGTTTCAAACCTACTCTATGAAAGGGAATGTTCAAGTCTGTGACTTGAATGCAAATATCACAAAGAAGTTTCTGGGAATGCTGCTGTCTGCTTTTTATATGTAATCCCGTTTCCAACGAAATCCTCAAAGCTAGACAAATATCCACTTGCAGATTCCACAAAAAGAGTGTTTCAAAACTGCTCTCTCAAAGGAAAGGTTCAACTCTGTTAGCTGAGTAGATACATCATGAAAAAGTTTCTGACATTGCTTCTATGTAGCTTTTATTGGAAGATATTTCCTTTTTCACCATAGTCCTGGGAGCGCTCCAAATGTCCACTTCCAGATACTACAAAAAGAGTGTTTCAAACCTGTTCTATGAAAGGAACTGTTCAACACTGTGACTTCAATTGAAACATCCCAATGAAGCTTCTGAGAATGCTTCTGCCTAGAGTTTATATGAAGACAATCCCGTTTCCAACGAAATCCTCAAAGCTATCCAAATATCCTCTTGCAGATATTACAAAAAGAGTGTTTCAAAACTGCTCTATCAAAAGAAAGCTTCAACACTGTTAGTTGAGGGCGCACATCACAAATAAGTTTCTGAGAATGCTTCTGTCTAGTTTTCAGGGGAAGATATTTCCTTTTCAACCATAGGCCTGAGAGCGCTCCAAATGTCCACATCCAGATACTACAAAAAGAGAGTTTCAAACCTGCTCTATGAAAGGGAATGTTCAACTCTGTGACTTGAATGCAAACATCACAAAGAAGTTTCTGGGAATGCTGCTGTCTGCTTTTTATATGTAATCCCGTTTCCAACGAAATCCTCAAAGCTAGACAAATATCCACTTGCAGATTCCACAAAAAGAGTGTTTCAAAACTGCTCTCTCAAAAGAAAGGTTCAACTCTGTTAGCTGAGTAGATACATCATGAAAAAGTTTCTGACATTGCTTCTATCTAGCTTTTATTGGAAGATATTTCCTTTATCACCGTAGTCCTGAGATCTCTCCAAATGTCCACTTCCAGATACTACAAAAAGAGTGTTTCAAACCTGCTCTATGAAAGGGACTGTTCAACACTGTGACTTCAATTGAAACATCCCAATGAAGCTTCTGAGAATGCTTCTGTCTAGAGTTTATATGAAGACAATCCCGTTTCCAACGAAATCCTCAAAGCTATCCAAATATCCTCTTGCAGATATTACAAAAAGAGTGTTTCAAAACTGCTCTATCAAAAGAAAGCTTCAACACTGTTAGTTGAGGGCGCACATCACAAATAAGTTTCTGAGAATACTGCTGTCTGCTTTTTATATGTAATCACGTTTCCAACGAAATCCTCAAAGCTAGACAAATATCCACTTGCAGATTCCACAAAAAGAGTTTTTCAAAACTGCTCTATGAAAAGAAAGCTTCAACACTGTTAGCTGAGGGCGCACATCACAAATAAGTTTCTGAGAATGCTTCTGTCTAGTTTTCAGGGGAAGATATTTCCTTTTAAACCATAGGCCTGAAAGCGCTCCAAATGTCCACATCCAGATACTACAAAAAGAGTGTTTCAAACCTGCTCTATGAAAGGGAATGTTCAACACTGTGACTTCAATTGAAACATCCCAATGAAGCTTCTGAGAATGCTTCTGTCTAGAGTTTATATGAAGACAATCCCGTTTCCAACGAAATCCTCAAAGCTATCCAAATATCCTCTTGCAGATTTTAGAAAAAGAGTGTTTAAAAACTGCTCTATGAAAAGAAAGGTTCAACACTGTTAGTTGAGGGCGCACATCACAAATAAGTTTCTGAGAATGCTTCTGTCTAGTTTTCAGGGGAAGATATTTCCTTTTTCACCATAGGCCTGAAAGCGCTCCAAATGTCCACATCCAGATACTACAAAAAGAGTGTTTCAAACCTGCTCTATGAAAGGGAATGTTCAACTCTGTGACTTGAATGCAAACATCACAAAGAAGTTACTGGGAATGCTGCTGTCTGCTTTTTATATGTATTCCCGTTTCCAAAGAAATCCTCAAAGCTAGACAAATATCCACTTGCAGATTCCACAAAAAGAGTGTTTCAAAACTGCTCTCTCAAAAGAAAGGTTCAACTCTTTTAGCTGAGTAGATACATCATGAAAAAGTTTCTCACATTGCTTCTATCTAGCTTTTATTGGAAGATATTTCCTTTTTCACCGCAGTCCTGAGAGCGCTCCAAATGTCCACTTCCAGATACTACAAAAAGAGTGTTTCAAACCTGCTCTATGAAAGGGACTGTTCAACACTGTGACTTCAATTGAAACATCCCAATGAAGCTTCTGAGAATGCTTCTGTCTAGAGTTTATATGAAGACAATCCCGTTTCCAACGAAATCCTCAAAGCTATCCAAATATCCTCTTGCAGATATTACAAAAAGAGTGTTTCAAAACTGCTCTATCAAAAGAAAGGTTCAACACTGTTAGTTTAGGGCGCACATCACAAATAAGTTTTCTGAGAATGCTGCTGTCTGCTTTTTATATGTAATCCCGTTTCCAACGAAATCCTGAAAGCTAGACAAATATCCACTTGCAGATTCCACAAAAAGAGTGTTTCAAAACTGCTCTATCAAAAGAAAGCTTCAACACTGTTAGTTGAGGGCGCACATCACAAATAAGTTTCTGAGAATGCTTCTGTCCAGTTTTCAGGGGAAGATATTTCCTTTTAAACCATAGGCCTGAAAGCACTCCAAATGTCCACATCCAGATACTACAAAAAGAGTGTTTCAAACCTGCTCTATGAAAGGGACTGTTCAACACTGTGACTTCAATTGAAACATCCCAATGAAGCTTCTGAGAATGCTTCTGTCTAGAGTTTATATGAAGACAATCCCGTTTCCAACGAAATCCTCAAAGCTATCCAAATATCCTCTTGCAGATTTTACAAAAAGAGTGTTTCAAAACTGCTCTATCAAAAGAAAGCTTCAACACTGTTAGTTGAGGGCGCACATCACAAATAAGATTGCTGAGAATGCTTTTATGTAGCTTTTATTGGAAGATATTTCCTTTTTCACCATAGGCCTGAAAGCGCTCCAAATGTCCACATCCAGATACTACAAAAAAAGTGTTTCAAACCTGCTCTATGAAAGGGAATGTTCAACTCTGTGACTTGAATGCAAACATCACAAAGAAGTTACTGGGAATGCTGCTGTCTGCTTTTTATATGTAATCCCGTTTCCAACGAAATCCTCAAAGCTAGACAAATATCCACTTGCAGATTCCACAAAAAGAGTGTTTCAAAACTGCTCTCTCAAAGGAAGGTTCAACTCTGTTAGCTGAGTAGACACATCATGAAAAAGATTCTGACATTGCTTCTATCTAGCTTTATTTGGAAGATATTTCCTTTTTCACCGTAGTCCTGAGAGCGCTCCAAATGTCCACTTCCAGATACTACAAAAAGATTGTTTCAAACATGCTCTATGAAAGGGACTGTTCAACACTGTGACTTCAATTGAAACATCCCAATGAAGCTTCTGAGAATGCTTCTGTCTAGATTCTATATGAAGACAATCCCGTTTCCAAAGAAATCCTCAAAGCTATCCAAATATCCTCTTCCAGATTTTACAAAAGAGTGTTTCAAAACTGCTCTATCAAAAGAAAGGTTCAACACTTTTAGTTGAGGGCGCACATCACAAATAAGTTTCTGAGAATGCTTCTGTCTAGTTTACAGGGGAAGATAATTCCTTTTTCACCATAGGCCTGAAAGCGCTCCAAATGTCCACATCCAGATACTACAAAAAGAGTGTTTCAAACCTGCTCTATGAAAGGGAATGTTCAAGTCTGTGACTTGAATGCAAATTTCACAAAGAGCTTTCTGGGAATGCTTCTGTCTAGTTTTCAGGGGAAGATATTTCCTTTTTCACCATAGGCCTGAAAGCGCTCGAAATGTCCACATCCAGATACTACAAAAAGAGTGTTTCAAACCTGCTCTATGAAAGGGACTGTTCAACACTGTGACTTCAATTGAAACATCCCAATGAAGCTTCTGAGAATGCTTCTGTCTAGAGTTTATATGAAGACAATCCTGTTTCCAACGAAATCCTCAAAGCTATCCAAATATCGTCTTTCAGATTTTACAAAAAGAGTGTTTCAAAACTGCTCTATCAAAAGAAAGATTCAACACTGTTAATTGAGGGCGCACATCACAAATAAGTTTCTGAGAATGCTCTGTCTAGTTTCCAGGGGAAGATATTTCCTTTTTCACCTTAGGCGTGAAAGCGCTCCAAATGTCCACATCCAGATACTACAAAAAGAGTGTTTCAAACCTGTTCTATGAAAGGGAATGTTCAACTCTGTGACTTGAAAGCAAACATCACAAAGAAGTTTCTGGGAATGCTGGCTGTCTGCTTTTTATATGTAATCCCGTTTCCAACGAAATCCTCAAAGCTAGACAAATATCCACCTGCAGATTCCACAAAAAGAGTGTTTCAAAACTGCTCTCTCAAAGGAAAGGTTCAAATCTGTTAGCTGAGTAGATACATCATGAAAAAGTTTCTGACATTGCTTCTATGTAGCTTTTATTGGAAGATATTTCCTTTTTCACCGTAGTCCTGAGAGCGCTCCAAATGTCCACTTCCAGATACTACAAAAAGAGTGTTTCAAACCTGTTCTATGAAAGGAACTGTTCAACAGTGTGACTTCAATTGAAACATCCCAATGAAGCTTCTGAGAATGCTTATGTCTAGAGTTTATATGAAGACAATCCCGTTTCCAACGAAATCCTGAAAGCTATCCAAATATCCTCTTGCAGATATTACAAAAAGAGTGTTTCAAAACTGCTCTATCAAAAGAAAGCTTCAACACTGTTAGTTGAGGGCGCCCATCACAAATAAGTTTCGGAGAATGCTTAGCTGTCTGCTTTTCATATGTAATCCCGTTTCCAACGAAATCCTCAAAGCTAGACAAATATCCACTTGCAGATTCCACAAAAAGAGTGTTTCAAAACTGCTCTATCAAAAGAATGCTTCAACACTGTTAGTTGAGGGCGCACATCACAAATAAGTTTCTGAGAATGCTTCTGTCTAGTTTTCAGGGGAAGATATTTCCTTTTTCACCATAGGCCTAAAAGCGCTCCAAATGTCCACATCCAGATACTACAAAAAGAGTGTTTCAAACCTGCTCTATGAAAGGGACTGTTCAACACTGTGACTTCAATTGAAACATCCCAATGAAGCTTCTGAGAATGCTTCTGTCTAGAGTTTATATGAAGCCAATCCCGTTTCCAACGAAATCCTCAAAGCTATCCAAATATCCTCTTGCAGATTTTACAAAAAGAGTGTTTCAAAACTGCTCTATCAAAAGAAAGCTTCAACACTGTTAGTTGAGGGCGCACATCACAACTAAGTTTCTGAGAATGCTTCCGTCTAGTTTTCAGGGGAAGATATTTACTTTTTCACCATAGGCCTGAAAGCGCTCCAAATGTCCACATCCAGATACTACAAAAAGAGTGTTTCAAACCTGCTCTATGAAAGGGAATGTTCAACTCTGTGACTTGAATGCAAACATCACAAAGAAATTTCTGGGAATGCTGCTGTCTGCTTTTTATATGTAATCCCGTTTCCAACGAAATCCTCAAAGCTAGACAAATATCCACTTGCAGATTCCACAAAAAGAGTGTTTCAAAACTGCTCTCTCAAAAGAAAGGTTCAACTCTGTTAGCTGAGTAGATACATCATGAAAAAGTTTCTCACATTGCTTCTATCTAGCTTTTATTGGAAGATATTTCCTTTTTCACCGTAGTCCTGAGAACGCTCCAAATGTCCACTTCCAGATGCTACAAAAAGAGTGTTTCAAACCTGCTCTATGAAAGGGACTGTTCAACACAGTGACTTCAATTGAAACATCCCAATGAAGCTTCTGAGAATGCTTATGTCTAGAGTTTATATGAAGACAATCCCGTTTCCAACGAAATCCTGAAAGCTATCCAAATATCCTCTTGCAGATATTACAAAAAGAGTGTTTCAAAACTGCTCTATCAAAAGAAAGCTTCAACACTGTTAGTTGAGGGCGCCCATCACAAATAAGTTTCGGAGAATGCTTAGCTGTCTGCTTTTTATATGTAATCCCGTTTCCAACGAAATCCTCAAATCTATCCAAATATCCTCTTGCAGATATTACAAAAAGAGTGTTTCAAAACTGCTCTATCAAAAGAAAGGTTCAACACTGTTAGTTGAGGGCGCACATCACAAATAAGTTTCTGAGAATGCTTCTGTCTAGTTTTCAGGGGAAGATATTTCCTTTTTCACCATAGGCCTGAAAGCGCTCGAAATGTCCACATCCAGATACTACAAAAAGAGTGTTTCAAACCTGCTCTATGAAAGGGACTGTTCAACACTGTGACTTCAATTGAAACATCCCAATGAAGCTTCTGAGAATGCTTCTGTCTAGAGTTTATATGAAGACAATCCCGTTTCCAAAGAAATCCTCAAAGCTATCCAAATATCCTCTAGCAGATTTTACAAAAAGAGTGTTTCAGAACTGCTCTATCAAAAGAAAGCTTCAACACTGTTAGTTGAGGGCGCACATCACAAATAAATTTCTGAGAATGCTTCTGTCTAGTTTTCAGGGGAAGATATTTCCTTTTTCACCATAGGCCTGAAAGCGCTCCAAATGTCCACATCCAAATACTACAACAAGAGTGTTTCAAACCTGCTCTATGAAAGGGAATGTTCAACTCTGTGACTTGAATGCAAACATCACAAAGAAGTTTCTGGGAATGCTGCTGTCTGCTTTTTATATGTAATCCCGTTTCCAACGCAATCCTCAAAGCTAGACAAATATCCACTTGCAGATTCCACCAAAAGAGTGTTTCAAAACTGCTCTCTCAAAAGAAAGGTTCAACTCTGTTAGCTGAGTAGATAGATCATTAAAAAGTTTACTGACTTTGCTTTCTATCTAGCTTTTATTGGAAGATATTTCCTTTTTCACCGTAGTCCTGAGATCTCTCAAAATGTCCACTTCCAGATACTACAAAAAGAGTGTTTCAAACCTGCTCTATGAAAGGGACTGTTCAACACTGTGACTTCAATTGAAACATCCCAATGAAGCTTCTGAGAATGCTTCTGTCTAGAGTTTATATGAAGACAATCCCGTTTCCAATGAAATCCTCAAAGCTATCCAAATATCCTCTTGCAGATTTTACAAAAAGAGTGTTTCAAAACTGCTCTATCAAAAGAAAGCTTCAACACTGTTAGTTGAGGGCGCACATCACAAATAAAATTCTGAGAATGCTTCTGTCTAGTTTTCAGGGGAAGATATTTCCTTTTTCAGCATAGGCCTGAAAGCGCTCCAAATGTCCACATCCAGATACTACAAAAAGAGTGTTTCAAACCTGCTCTATGAAAGGGAATGTCCAACTCTGTGACTTGAATGCAAACATCACAAAGAAGTTTCTGGGAATGCTTCTGTCTGCCTTTTATATGTAATCCCGTTTCCAACGAAATCCTCAAAGCTAGACAAATATCCACTTGCATATTCCACAAAAAGTGTGTTTCAAAACTGTTCTCTCAAAAGAAAGGTTCAACTCTGTTAGCTGAGTAGATACATCATGAACAATTTTCTGACATTGCTTCTATGTAGCTTTTATTGGAAGATATTTCCTTTATCACCGTATTCCTGAGATCTCTCCAAATGTCCACTTCCAGATACTACAAAAAGAGTGTTTCAAACCTGCTCTATGAAAGGGACTGTTCAACACTGTGACTTCAATTGAAACATCCCAATGAAGCTTCTGAGAATGCTGCTGTCTGCTTTGTATAATTAATCCCGTTTCCAACGAAATCCTCAAAGCTATCCAAATATCCTCTTGCAGATATTACAAAAAGAGTGTTTCAAAACTGCTCTATCAAAAGAAAGCTTCAACACTGTTAGTTGAGGGCGCACATCACAAATAAGTTTCTGAGAATGCTGCTGTCTGCTTTTTATATGTAATCCCGTTTCCAACGAAATCCTCAAAGCTATCCAAATATCCTCTTGCAGATATTAGAAAAAGAGTGTTTCAAAACTGCTCTATCAAAAGAAAGGTTCAACACTGTTAGTTGAGGGCGCACATCACAAATAAGTTTCTGAGAATGCTTCTGTCTAGTTTTCAGGGGAAGATATTTCCTTTTTCACCATATGCCTGAAAGCGCTCCAAATGTCCACATCCAGATACTACAAAAAGAGTGTTTCAAACCTGCTCTATGAAAGGGACTGTTCAACACTGTGACTTCAATTGAAACATCCCAATGAAGCTTCTGAGAATGCTTCTGTCTAGAGTTTATATGAAGACAATCCAGTTTCCAAAGAAATCCTCAAAGCTATCCAAATATCCTCTTGCAGATTTTACAAAAAGAGTGTTTCAAAACTGCTCTATCAAAAGAAAGCTTCAACACTGTTAGTTGAGGGCGCACATCACAAATAAAATTCTGAGAGTGCTTCTGTCTAGTTTTCAGGGGAAGATATTTCCTTTTTCACCATAGACCTGAAAGCGCTCCAAATGTCCACATCCAGATACTACAAAAAGAGTGTTTCAAACCTGCTCTATGAAAGGGAATGTTCAACTCTGTGACTTGAATGCAAACACCACAAAGAAGTTACTGGTAATGCTGCTGTCTGCTTTTTATATGTAATCCCGTTTCCAACGAAATCCTCAAAGCTAGACAAATATCCACTTGCAGATTCCACAAAAAGAGTGTTTCAAAACTGCTCTCTCAAAGGAAAGGTTCAACTCTGTTAGCTGAGTAGATACATCATGAAAAAGTTTCTGACATTGCTTCTATGTAGCTTTTATTGGAAGATATTTCCTTTTTCACCGTAGTCCTGAGAGCGCTCCAAATGTCCACTTCCAGATACTACAAAAAGAGTGATTCAAACCTGCTCTATGAAAGGGAGTGTTCAACACTGTGACTTCAATTGAAACATCCCAATGAAGCTTCTGAGAATGCTTCTGTCTAGATTCTATATGAAGACAATCCCGTTTCCAACGAAATCCTCAAAGCTATCCAAATATCCTCTTGCAGATTTTACAAAAAGAGTGTTTCAAAACTGCTCTATCAAAAGAAAAGTTCCACACTGTTAGTTGAGGGCGCACATCACAAATAAGTTTGCTGAGAATGCTGCTGTCTGCTTTTTATATGTAATCCCGTTTCCAACGAAATCCTCAAAGCTAGACAAATATCCACTTGCAGATTCCACAAAAAGAGTGTTTCAAAACTGCTCTATCAAAAGAAAGCTTCAACACTGTTAGTTGAGGGCGCACATCACAAATAAGTTTCTGAGAATGCTTCTGTCTAGTTTTCAGGGGAAGATATTTCCTTTTTCACCATAGGCCTGAAAGCGCTCCAAATGTCCACATCCAGATACTACAAAAAGAGTGTTTCAAACCTGCTCTATGAAAGGGACTGTTCAACACTGTGACTTCAATTGAAACATCCCAATGAAGCTTCTGAGAATGCTTCTGTCTAGAGTTTATATGAAGACAATCCCGTTTCCAACGAAATCCTCAAAGCTATCAAAATATCCTCTTGCAGATTTTACGAAAAGAGTTTTTCAAAACTGCTCTATCAAAAGAAAGCTTGAACACTGTTAGTTGAGGGCGCACATCACAAATAAGATTCTGAGAATTCTTGTGTCTAGTTTTCAGGGGAAGATATTTCCTTTTTCACCATAGGCCTGAAAGCGCTCCAAATGTCCACATCCAGATACTACAAAAAGAGTGTTTCAAACCTGCTCTAAGAAAGGGAATGTTCAACTCTGTGACTTGAATGCAAACATCACAAAGAAATTTCTGTGAATGCTGCTGTCTCCTTTTTATATGTAATCCCGTTTCCAACAAAATCCTCAAAGCTAGACAAATATCCACTTCCAGATTCCACAAAAAGAGTGTTTCAAAACTGCTCTCTCAAAAGAAAGGTTCAACACTGTTAGCTGAGTAGATACATCCTGAAAAATTTTCTGACATTGCTTCTATCTAGCTTTTATTGGAAGATATTTCCTTTTTCACCGTAGTCCTGAGAGCGCTCAAAATGTCCACTTCCAGATACTACAAAAAGAGTGTTTCAAACCTGCTTTATGAAAGGGACTGTTCAACACTGTGACTTCAATTGAAACATCCCAATGAAGCTTCTGAGAATGCTTATGTCTAGAGTTTATATGAAGACAATCCCGTTTCCAACGAAATCCTGAAAGCTATCCAAATATCCTCTTGCAGATATTACAAAAAGAGTGTTTCAAAACTGCTCTATCAAAAGAAAGCTTCAACACTGTTAGTTGAGGGCGCCCATCACAAATAAGTTTCGGAGAATGCTTAGCTGTCTCCTTTTTATATGTAATCCCGTTTCCAACGAAATTCTCAAAGCTAGACAAATATCCACTTGCAGATTCCACAAAAAGAGTGTTTCAAAACTGCTCTATCAAAAGAAAGCTTCAACACTGTTAGTTGAGGGCGCACATCACAAATAAGTTTCTGAGAATGCTTCTGTCTACTTTTCAGGGGAAGATATTTCCTTTCTCACCATAGTCCTGAAAGCGCTCCAAATGTCCACATCCAGATACTACAAAAAGAGTGTTTCACACCTGCTCTATGAAAGGGACTGTTCAACACTGTGACTTCAATTGAAACATCCCAATGAAGCTTCTGAGAATGCTTCTGTCTAGAGTTTATATGAAGACAATCCCGTTTCCAATGAAATCCTCAAAGCTATCCAAATATCCTCTTGCAGATTTTACAAAAAGAGTGTTTCAAAACTGCTCTATCAAAAGAAAGCTTCAACACTGTTAGTTGAGGGCGCACATCACAAATAAGATTCTGAGAATGCTTCTGTCTAGTTTTCAGGGGAAGATATTTCCTTTTTCACCATAGGCCTGAAAGCGCTCCAAATGTCCACATACAGATACTACAAAAAGAGTGTTTCAAACCTGCTCTATGAAAGGGAATGTTCAACTCTGTGACTTGAATGCAAACTTCACAAAGAAGTTTCTGGGAATGCTGCTGTCTGGTTTTTATATGTAATCCCGTTTCCAACGAAATCCTCAAAGCTAGACAAATATCCACTTGCAGATTCCACAAAAAGAGTGTTTCAAAACTGCTCTCTCAAAAGAAAGGTTCAACTCTGTTAGCTGAGTAGATACATCATGAAAAAGTTTCTGACATTGCTTCTATCTAGCTTTTATTGGAAGATATTTCCTTTTTCACCGCAGTCCTGAGAGCGCTCCAAATGTCCACTTCCAGATACTACCAAAAGAGTGTTTCAAACCTGCTCTATGAAAGGGACTGTTCAACACTGTGACTTCAATTGAAACATCCCAATGAAGCTTCTGAGAATGCTTCTGTCTAGAGTTTATATGAAGACAATCCCGTTTCCAACGAAATCCTCAAAGCTATCCAAATATCCTCTTGCAGATATTACAAAAAGAGTGTTTCAAAACTGCTCTATCAAAAGAAAGGTTCAACACTGTTAGTTGAGGGCGCACATCACAAATAAGTTTACTGAGAATGCTGCTGGCTGCTTTTTATATGTAATCCCGTTTCCAACGAAATCCTCAAAGCTAGACAAATATCCACTTGCAGATTCCACAAAAAGAGTGTTTCAAAACTGCTCTATCAAAAGAAAGCTTCAACACTGTTAGTTGAGGGGGCACATCACAAATAAGTTTCTGAGAATGCTTCTGTCTAGTTTTCAGGGGAAGATATTTCCTTTTAAACCATAGGCCTGAAAGCGCTCCAAATGTCCACATCCAGATACTACAAAAAGAGTGTTTCAAACCTGCTCTATGAAAGGGACTGTTCAACACTGCAACTTCAATTGAAACATCCCAATGAAGCTTCTGAGAATGCTTCTGTCTAGAGTTTATATGAAGACAATCCCGTTTCCAACGAAATCCTCAAAGCTATCCAAATATCCTCTTGCAGATATTACAAAAAGAGTGTTTCAAAACTGCTCTATCAAAAGAAAGCTTCAACACTGTTAGTTGAGGGCGCACATCACAAATAAGTTTCTGAGAATGCTTCTGTCTAGTTTTCAGGGGAAGATATTTCCTTTTTCACCATAGGCCTGAAAGCGCTCCAAATGTCCACATCCAGATACTACAAAAAGAGTGTTTCAAACCTGCTCTATGAAAGGAAATGTTCAAGTCTGTGACTTGAATGCAAATTTCACAAAGAACTTTCTGGTAATGCTGCTATCTGCTTTTTATATGTAATCCCGTTTCCAACGAAATCCTCAAAGCTAGACAAATATCCACTTGCAGATTCCACAAAAAGAGTGTTTCAAAACTGCTCTGTCAAAAGAAAGGTTCAACTCTATTAGCTGAGTAGATGCATCATGAAAATGTTTCTGACATTGCTTCTATCTAGCTTTTATTGGAAGATATTTCCTTTTTCACCGTAGTCCTGAGAGCGCTCCAAATGTCCACTTCCAGATACTACAAAAAGAGTGTTTCAAACCTGCTCTATGAAAGGGACTGTTCAACACTGTGACTTCAATTGAAACATCCCAATGAAGCTTCTGAGAATGCTTCTGTCTAGAGTTTATATGAAGACAATCCCGTTTCCAACGAAATCCTCAAAGCTATCCAAATATCCTCTTGCAGATTTTACAAAAAGAGTGTTTCAAAACTGCTCTATCGAAAGAAAGCTTCAACACTGTTAGTTGAGTGCGCACATCACAAATAAGATTCTGAGAATGCTTCTGTCTAGTTTTCAGGGGAAGATATTTCCTTTTTCACCATAGGCCTGAAAGCGCTCCAAATGTCCACATCCAGATACTACAAAAAGAGTGTTTCAAACCTGCTCTATGAAAGGGAATGTTCAAGTCTGTGACTTGAATGCAAATATCACAAAGAAGTTTCTGGGAATGCTGCTGTCTGCTTTTTATATGTAATCCCGTTTCCAACGAAATCCTCAAAGCTAGACAAATATCCACTTGCAGATTCCACAAAAAGAGTGTTTCAAAACTGCTCTCGCAAAAGAAAGGTTCAACTCCTTTAGGTGAGTAGATACATCATGAAAAAGTTTCTGCATTGCTTCTATCTAGCTTTTATTGGAAGATATTTCCTTTTTCACTGTAGTCCTGAGAGCGCTCCAAATGTCTACTTCCAGATACTACAAGAAGAGTGTTTCAAACCTGCTCTATCAAAGGGAATGTTCAACACTGTGACGTCAATTGAAACATCCCAAAGAAATTTCTAAGAATGCTGCTGTCTGCTTTGTATAATTAATCCCGTTTCCAACGAAATCCTCAAAGCTATCCAAATATCCTCTTGCAGATATTACAAAAAGAGTGTTTCAAAACTGCTCTATCAAAAGAAAGCTTCAACACTGTTAGTTGAGGGCGCACATCACAAATAAGTTTCTGAGAATGCTGCTGTCTGCTTTTTATATGTAATCCCGTTAACAACGAAATCCTCAAAGCTAGACAAATATCCACTTGCAGATTCCACAAAAAGAGTGTTTCAAAACTGCTCTATCAAAAGAATGCTTCAACACTGTTAGTTGAGGGCGCACATCACAAATAAGTTTCTGAGAATGCTTCTGTCTAGTTTTCAAGGGAAGATATTTCCTTTTAAACCATAGGCCTGAAAGCGCTCCAAATGTCCACATCCAGATACTACAAAAAGAGTGTTTCAAACCTGCTCTATGAAAGGGACTGTTCAACACTGTGACTTCAATTGAAACATCCCAATGACGCTTCTGAGAATGCTTCTGTCTAGATTCTATATGAAGACAATCCCGTTTCCAACGAAATCCTCAAAGCTATCCAAATATCCTCTTGCGGATTTTACAAAAAGAGTGTATCAAAACTGCTCTATCAAAAGAAAGGTTCAACACTGTTAGTTGAGGGCGCACATGACAAATAAGTTTCTGAGAATGCTTCTGTCTAGTTTTCAGGGGAAGATATTTCCTTTTTCACCATAGGCCTGAAAGCGCTCCAAATGTCCACATCCAGATACTACAAAAAGAGTGTTTCAAACCTGCTCTATGAAAGGGAATGTTCAACTCTGTGACTTGAATGCAAACATCACAAAGAAGTTTCTGGGAATGCTGCTGTCTGCTTTTTATATGTAATCCCGTTTCCAAAGAAGTCCTCAAAGCTAGACAAATATCCACTTGCAGATTCCACAAAAAGAGTGTTTCAAAACTGCTCTCTCAAAAGAAAGGTTCAACTCTTTTAGCTGAGTAGATACATCATGAAAAAGTTTCTCACATTGCTTCTATCTAGCTTTTATTGGAAGATATTTCCTTTTTCACCGTAGTCCTCAGAACGCTCCAAATGTCCACTTCCAGATACTACAAAAAGAGTGTTTCAAACCTGCTCTATGAAAGGGACTGTTCAACACTGTGACTTCAATTGAAACATCCCAATGAAGCTTCTGAGAATGCTTATGTCTAGAGTTTATATGAAGACAATCCCGTTTCCAACGAAATCCTGAAAGCTATCCAAATATCCTCTTGCAGATATTACAAAAAGAGTGTTTCAAAACTGCTCTATCAAAAGAAAGCTTCAACACTGTTAGTTGAGGGCGCCCATCACAAATAAGTTTCGGAGAATGCTTAGCTGTCTGCTTTTTATATGTAATCCCGTTTCCAACGAAATCCTCAAAGCTATCCAAATATCCTCTTGCAGATTTTACAAAAAGAGTGTTTCAAAACTGCTCTATCAAAAGAAAGCTTCAACACTGTTAGTTGATGGCGCACATCACAAATAAGATTCTGAGAATTCTTCTGTCTAGTTTTCAGGGGAAGATATTTCCTTTTAAACCATAGGCCTGAAAGCGCTCCAAATGTCCACATCCAGATACTACAAAAAGAGTGTTTCAAACCTGCTCTATGAAAGGGACTGTTCAACACTGTGACTTCAATTGAAACATCCCAATGAAGCTTCTGAGAATGCTTCTGTCTAGAGTTTATATGAAGACAATCCCGTTTCCAACGAAATCCTCAAAGCTATCAAA
Source organism: Homo sapiens (assembly GCF_000001405.40). Taxonomy (NCBI): domain Eukaryota; kingdom Metazoa; phylum Chordata; class Mammalia; order Primates; family Hominidae; genus Homo; species Homo sapiens. Next base: position 93,315,658 of record NC_000002.12, on the reverse strand, counting down.
ATATCCTCTTGCAGATTTTACGAAAAGAGTGTTTCAAAACTGCTCTATCAAAAGAAAGCTTCAACACTGTTAGTTGAGGGCGCACATCACAAATAAGATTCTGAGAATGCTTCTGTCTAGTTTTCAGGGGAAGATATTTCCTTTTTCACCTTAGGCCTGAAAGCGCTGCAAATGTCCACATCCAGATACTACAAAAAGAGTGTTTCAAACCTGCTCTATGAAAGGGAATGTTCAACTCTGTGACTTGAATGCAAACATCACAAAGAACTTTCTGGGAATGCTGCTGTCTGCTTTTTATATGTAATCCCGTTTCCAACGAAATCCTCAAAGCTAGACAAATATCCACTTGCAGATTCCACAAAAAGAGTGTTTCAAAACTGCTCTCTCAAAAGAAAGGTTCAACTCTGTTAGCTGAGTAGATACATCATGAAAAAGTTTCTGACATTGCTTCTATCTAGCTTTTATTGGAAGATATTTCCTTTTTCACCGTAGTCCTGAGAGCGCTCCAAATGTCCACTTCCAGATACTACAAAAAGAGTGTTTCAAACCTGTTCTATGAAAGGAACTGTTCAACACTGTGACTTCAATTGAAACATCCCAATGAAGCTTCTGAGAATGCTTCTGTCTAGAGTTTATGTGAAGACAATCCCGTTTCCAACGAAATCCTCAAAGCTATCCAAATATCCTCTTGCAGATATTACAAAAAGAGTGTTTCAAAACTGCTCTATCAAAAGAAAGGTTCAACACTGTTAGTTGAGGAGGCACATCACAAATAAGTTTCTGAGAATGCTTCTGTCTAGTTTTCAGGAGAAGATATTTCCTTTTTCACCATAGGCCTGAAAGCGCTCCAAATGTCCACATCGAGATACTACAAAAAGAGTGTTTCAAACCTGCTCTATGAAAGGGAATGTTCAACTCTGTGACTTGAATGCAAACATCACAAAGAAGATTCTGGGAATGCTGCTGTCTGCTTTTTATATGTAATCCCGTTTCCAACGAAATCCTCAAAGCTAGACAAATATCCACTTGCAGATTCCACAAAAAGAGTGTTTCAAAACGGCTCTGTCAAAAGAAAGGTTCAACTCTGTTAGCTGAGTAGATACATCATGAAAAATTTTCTGACATTGCTTCTATCTAGCTTTTATTGGAAGATATTTCCTTTTTCACCGTAGTCCTGAGAACGCTCCAAATGTCCACTTCCAGATACTACAAAAAGGGTGTTTCAAACCTGCTCTATGAAAGGGACTGTTCAACACTGTGACTTCAATTGAAACATCCCAATGAAGCTTCTGAGAATGCTTCTATGTAGCTTTTATTGGAAGATATTTCCTTTTTCACCATAGACCTGAGAGCGCTGCAAATGTCCACATCCAGATACTACAAAAAGAGTGTTTCAAACCTGCTCTATGAAAGGGAATGTTCAACTCTGTGACTTGAATGCAAACATCACAAAGAAGTTTCTGGGAATGCTGCTGTCTGCTTTTTATATGTAATCCCTTTTCCAACGAAATCCTCAAAGCTAGACAAATATCCACTTGCAGATTCCACAAAAAGAGTGTTTCAAAACTGCTCTATCAAAAGAATGCTTCAACACTGTTAGTTGAGGGCGCACATCACAAATAAGTTTCTGAGAATGCTTCTGTCTAGTTTTCAGGGGAAGATATTTCCTTTTAAACCATAGGCCTGAAAGCGCTCCAAATGTCCACATCCAGATACTACAAAAAGAGTGTTTCAAACCTGCTCTATGAAAGGGACTGTTCAACACTGTGACTTCAATTGAAATATCCCAATGACGCTTCTGAGAATGCTTCTGTCTAGAGTTTATATGAAGACAATCCCGTTTCCAACGAAATCCTCAAAGCTATCCAAATATCCTCTTGCAGATTTTACAAAAAGAGTGTTTCAAAACTGCTCTATCAAAAGAAAGCTTCAACACTGTTAGTTGAGGGCGCACATCACAAATAAGATTCTGAGAATGCTTCTGTCTAGTTTTCAGGGGAAGATATTTCCTTTTTCACCATAGGCCTGAAAGCGCTCCAAATGTCCACATCCAGATAGTACAAAAAGAGTGTTTCAAACCTGCTCTATGAAAGGGAATGTTCAACTCTGTGACTTGAATGCAAACATCACAAAGAAGTTTCTGGGAATGCTGCTGTCTGCTTTTTATATGTAATCCCGTTTCCAACATAATCCTGAAAGCTAGACAAATATCCACCTGCAGATTCCACAAAAAGAGTGTTTCAAAACTGCTCTCTCAGAAAAAATGTTCAACTCTGTTAGCTGAGTAGATACATCATGAAAAAGTTTCTGACATTGCTTCTATCTAGCTTTTATTGGAAGATATTTCCTTTTTCACCGTAGTCCTGAGAGCGCTCCAAATTTCCACTTCCAGATACTACAAAAAGAGTGTTTCAAACCTGCTCTATGAAAGGGAATGTTCAACACTGTGACTTCAATTGAAACATCCCAATGAAGCTTCTGAGAATGCTACTGTCTAGAGTTTATATGAAGACAATCCCATTTCCACCGAAATCCTCAAAGCTATCCTAATATCCTCTTGCAGATTTTACAAAAAGAGTGTTTCAAAACTGCTCTATCAAAAGAAAGCTTCAACACTGTTAGTTGAGGGCGCGCATCACAAAAAAGTTTCTGAGAATGCTTCTGTCTAGTTTTCAGGGGAAGATATTTCCTTTTTCACCATAGGCCGGAAAGCGCTCCAAATGTCCACATCCAGATACTACAAAAAGAGTGTTTCAAACCTGCTCTATGAAAGGGAATGTTCAACTCTGTGACTTGAATGCAAACATCACAAAGAAGTTTCTGCGAATGCTGCTGTCTGCTTTTTATATGTAATCCCGTTTCCAACGAAATCCTCAAAGCTAGACAAATATCCACTTGCAGGTTCCACAAAAAGAGTGTTTCAAAACGGCTCTCTCAAAAGAAAGGTTCAACTCTGTTAGCTGAGTAGATAGATCATGAAAAATTTTCTGACATTGCTTCTATCTAGCTTTTATTGGAAGATATTTCCTTTTTCACCGTAGTCCTGAGAGCGCTCCAAATGTCCACTTCCAGATGCTACAAAAAGAGTGTTTCAAACCTGCTCTATGAAAGTGACTGTTCAACACTGTGACTTCAATTGAAACATCCCAATGAACCTTCTGAGAATGCTACTGTCTAGGGTTAATATGAAGACAATCCCGTTTCAAACGAAATCCTCAAAGCTATCCAAATATCCTCTTGCAGATTTTACAAAAAGAGTGTTTCAAAACTACTCTATCAACAGAAAGGTTCAACATTGTTAGTTGAGGGCGCACATCACAAATAAGTTTCTGAGAATGCTTCTGTCTAGTTTTCAGGGGAAGATATTTCCTTTTTCACCATAGGCCTGAAAGCGCTCCAAATGTCCACATCCAGATACTACAAAAAGAGTGTTTCAAACCTGCTCTATGAAAGGGAATGTTCAACTCTGTGACTTGAATGCAAACATCACAAAGAAGTTTCTGGGAATGCTGCTGTCTGCTTTTTATATGTAATCCCGTTTCCAACGAAATCCTCAAAGGTAGACAAATATCCACTTGCAGATTCCACAAAAAGAGTGTTTCAAAACTGCTCTGTCAAAAGAAAGGTTCAACTCTGTTAGCTGAATAGATACATCATGAGAAATTTTCTGACATTGCTTCTATCTAGCTTTATTTGGAAGATATTTCCTTTTTCACCGTAGTCCTGAGAGCGCTCCAAATGTCCACTTCCAGATACTACAAAAAGATTGTTTCAAACATGCTCTATGAAAGGGACTGTTCAACACTGTGACTTCAATTGAAACATCCCAATGAAGCTTCTGAGAATGCTTCTGTCTAGATTTTATATGAAGACAATCCCGTTTCCAACGAAATCCTCAAAGCTATCCAAATATCCTCTTGCAGATTTTACAAAAAGAGTGTTTCAAAACTGCTCTATCAAAAGAAAAGTTCAACACTGTTAGTTGAGGGCGCACATCACAAATAAGTTTTTCAGAATGCTGCTGTCTGCTTTTTATATGTAATCCCGTTTCCAACGAAATCCTCAAAGCTATCCAAATATCCTCTTGCAGATATTACAAAAAGAGTGTTTCAAAACTGCTCTATCAAAAGAAAGGTTCAACACTGTTAGTTGAGGGCGCACATCACAAATAAGTTTCTGAGAATGCTTCTATCTAGCTTTTATTGGAAGATATTTCCTTTTTCACCGCAGTCCTGAGAGCGCCGCAAATGTCCACTTCCAGATACTACAAATAGTGTGTTTCAAACCTGCTCTATGAAAGGGACTGTTCAACACTGTGACTTCAATTGAAACATCCCAATGAAGCTTCTGAGAATGCTTCTGTCTAGAGTTTATATGAAGACAATCCCGTTTCCAACGAAATCCTCAAAGCTATCCAAATATCCTCTTGCAGATTTTACAAAAAGAGTGTTTCAAAACTGCTCTATCAAAAGAAAGCTTCAACTCTGTTAGTTGAGGGCGCACATCACAAATAAGATTCTGAGAATGCTTCTGTCTAGTTTTCAGGGGAAGATATTTCCTTTTTCACCATAGGCCTGAAAGCGCTCCAAATGTCCACATACAGATACTACAAAAAGAGTGTTTCAAACCTGCTCTATGAAAGGGAATGTTCAACTCTGTGACTTGAATGCAAACTTCACAAAGAAGTTTCTGGGAATGCTGCTGTCTGCTTTTTATATGTAATCCCGTTTCCAACGAAATCCTCAAAGCTAGACAAATATCCACTTGCAGATTCCACAAAAAGAGTGTCTCAAAACTGCTCTCTCAAAAGAAAGGTTCAACTCTTTTACCTGAGTAGATACATCATGAAAAAGTTTCTGACATTGCTTCTATCTAGCCTTTATTGGAAGATATTTCCTTTTTCACCGTAGTCCTGAGAACGCTCCAAATGTCCACTTCCAGATGGTACAAAAAGAGTGTTTCAAACCTGCTCTATGAAAGGGACTGTTCAACACTGTTACTTCAATTGAAACATCCCAATGAAGCTCCTGAGAATGCTTCTGTCTAGAGTTTATATGAAGACAATCCCGTTTCCAACGAAATCCTCAAAGCTATCCAAATATCCTCTTGCAGATATTACAAAAAGAGTGTTTCAAAACTGCTCTATCAAAAGAAAGGTTCAACACTGTTAGTTGAGGGCGCACATCACAAATAAGTTTACTGAGAATGCTGCTGTCTGCTTTTTATATGTAATCCCGTTTCCAACGAAATCCTCAAAGCTAGACAAATATCCACTTGCAGATTCCACAAAAAGAGTGTTTCAATACTGCTCTATCAAAAGAATGCTTCAACACTGTTAGTTGAGGGCGCACATCACAAATAAGTTTCTGAGAATGCTTCTGTCTAGTTTTCAGGGGAAGATATTTCCTTTTAAACCATAGGCCTGAAAGCGCTCCAAATGTCCACATCCAGATACTACAAAAAGAGTGTTTCAAACCTGCTCTATGAAAGGGACTGTTCAACACTGTGACTTCAATTCAAACATCCCAATGACGCTTCTGAGAATGCTTCTGTCTAGAGTTTATATGAAGACAATCCCGTTTCCAACGAAATCCTCAAAGCTATCCAAATATCCTCTTGCAGATTTTACAAAAAGAGTGTTTCAAAACTGCTCTATCAAAAGAAAGCTTCAACACTGTTAGTTGAGGGCGCACATCACAAATAAGATTCTGAGAATTCTTCTGTCTAGTTTTCAGGGGAAGATATTTCCTTTTTCACCATAGGCCTGAAAGCGCTCCAAATGTCCACATCCAGATACTACAAAAAGAGTGTTTCAAACCTGCTCTATGAAAGGGAATGTTCAACTCTGTGACTTGAATGCAAACATCACAAAGAAGTTTCTGGGAATGCTGCTGTCTGCTTTTTATATGTAATCCCGTTTCCAACGAAATCCTCAAAGCTAGACAAATTTCCACTTGCAGATTCCACAAAAAGAGTGTTTCAAAACTGCTCTCTCGAAGGAAAGGTTCAACTCTGTTAGCTGAGTAGATACATCATGAAAAAGTTTCTGACATTGCTTCTATCTAGCTTTTATTGGAAGATATTTCCTTTTTCACCGTAGTCCTGAGAGCGCTCCAAATGTCCACTTCCAGATACTACAAAAAGAGTGTTTCAAACCTGCTCTATGAAAGGGACTGTTCAACACTGTGACTTCAATTGAAACATCCCAATGAAGCTTCTGAGAATGCTGCTGTCTGCTTTGTATAATTAATCCCGTTTCCAACGAAATCCTCAAAGCTATCCAAATATCCTCTTGCAGATATTACAAAAAGAGTGTTTCAAAACTGCTCTATCAAAAGAAAGCTTCAACACTGTTAGTTGAGGGCGCACATCACAAATAAGTTTCTGAGAATGCTGCTGTCTGCTTTTTATATGTAATCCCGTTTCCAACGAAATCCTCAAAACTAGACAAATATCCACTTGCAGATTCCACAAAAAGAGTGTTTCAAAACTGCTCTATCAAAAGAATGCTTCAACACTGTTAGTTGAGGGCGCACATCACAAGTAAGTTTCTGAGAATGCTTCTGTCTAGTTTTCAGGGGAAGATATTTCCTTTTTCACCATAGGCCTGAAAGCGCTCCAAATGTCCACATCCAGATACTACAAAAAGAGTGTTTCAAACCTGCTCTATGAAAGGGACTGTTCAACACTGTGACTTCAATTGAAACATCCCAATGAAGCTTCTGAGAATGCTTCTGTCTAGAGTTTATTTGAAGACAATCCTGTTTCCAATGAAATCCTCAAAGCTATGCAAATATCCTCTTGCAGATTTTACAAAAAGAGTGTTTCAAATCTGCTCTATCAAAAGAAAGCTTCAACACTGTTAGTTGAGGGCGCACATCACAAATAAGATTCTGAGAATGCTTCTGTCTAGTTTTAAGGGGAAGATATTTCCTTTTTCACCATAGGCCTGAAAGCGCTCCAAATGTCCACATCCAGATACTACAAAAAGAGTGTTTCAAACCTGCTCTATGAAAGGGAATGTTCAAGTCTGTGACTTGAATGCAAATATCACAAAGAAGTTTCTGGGAATGCTGCTGTCTGCTTTTTATATGTAATCCCGTTTCCAACGAAATCCTCAAAGCTAGACAAATATCCACTTGCAGATTCCACAAAAAGAGTGTTTCAAAACTGCTCTGTCAAAAGAAAGGTTCAACTCTGTTAGCTGAATAGATACATCATGAGAAATTTTCTGACATTGCTTCTATCTAGCTTTATTTGGAAGATATTTCCTTTTTCACCGTAGTCCTGAGAGCGCTCCAAATGTCCACTTCCAGATACTACAAAAAGAGTGTTTCAAATCTGCTCTATGAAAGGGACTGTTCAACACTGTGACTTCAATTGAAACATCCCAATGAAGCTTCTGAGAATGATTCTGTCTAGAGTTTATATGAAGACAATCCCGTTTCCAACGAAATCCTCAAAGCTATCCAAATATCCTCTTGCAGATATTACAAAAAGAGTGTTTCAAAACTGCTCTATCAAAAGAAAGGTTCAACACTGTTAGTTGAGGGCGCACATCACAAATAAGTTTACTGAGAATGCTGCTGTCTGCTTTTTATATGTAATCCCGTTTCCAACGAAATCCTCAAAGCTATCCAAATATCCTCTTGCAGATATTACAAAAAGAGTGTTTCAAAACTGCTCTATCAAAAGAAAGGTTCAACACTGTTAGTTGAGGGCGCACATCACAAATAAGTTTCTGAGAATGCTTCTGTCTAGTTTTCAGGGGAAGATATTTCCTTTTTCACCATAGGCCTGAAAGCGCTCCAAATGTCCACATCCAGATACTACAAAAAGAGTGTTTCAAACCTGCTCTATGAAAGGGACTGTTCAACACTGTGACTTCAATTGAAACATCCCAATGAAGCTTCTGAGAATGCTTCTGTCTAGAGTTTATATGAAGACAATCCCGTTTCCAACGAAATCCTCAAAGCTATCAAAATATCCTCTTGCAGATTTTACGAAAAGAGTGTTTCAAAACTGCTCTATCAAAAGAAAGCTTCAACACTGTTATTTGAGGGGGCACATCACAAATAAGATTCTGAGAATGCTTCTGTCTAGTTTACAGGAGAAGATATTTCCTTTTTCACCATAGGCCTGAAAGCGCTCCAAATGTCCACATCCAGATACTATAAAAAGAGTGTTTCAAACCTGCTCTCTGAAAGGGAATGTTCAACTCTGTGACTTGAATGCAAACATCACAAACAAGATTCTGGGAATGCTGCTGTCTGCTTTTTATATGTAATCCCGTTTCCAACGAAATCCTCAAAGCTAGACAAATATCCACTTGCAGATTCCACAAAAAGAGTGTTTCAAAACTGCTCTCTCAAAGGAAAGGTTCAACTCTGTTAGCTGAGTAGATACATCATGAAAAAGTTTCTGACATTGCTTCTATGTAGCTTTTATTGGAAGATATTTCCTTTTTCACCATAGTCCTGAGAGCGCTCCAAATGTCCACTTCCAGATACTACAAAAAGAGTGTTTCAAACCTGTTCTATGAAAGGAACTGTTCAACACTGTGACTTCAATTGAAACATCCCAAAGAAGCTTCTGAGAATGCTTATGTCTAGAGTTTATATGAAGACAATCCCGTTTCCAACGAAATCCTGAAAGCTATCCAAATATCCTCTTGCAGATATTACAAAAAGAGTGTTTCAAAACTGCTCTATCAAAAGAAAGCTTCAACACTGTTAGTTGAGGGCGCCCATCACAAATAAGTTTCGGAGAATGCTTAGCTGTCTGCTTTTTATATGTAATCCCGTTTCCAACGAAATCCTCAAAGATAGACAAATATCCACTTGCAGATTCCACAAAAAGAGTGTTTCAAAACTGCTCTATCAAAGGAATGCTTCAACACTGTTAGTTGAGGGCGCACATCATAAATAAGTTTCTGAGAATGCTTCTGTCTAGTTTTCAGGGGAAGATATTTCCTTTTTCACCATAGGCCTGAAAGCGCTCGAAATGTCCACATCCAGATACTACAAAAAGAGTGTTTCAAACCTGCTCTATGAAAGGGACTGTTCAACACTGTGACTTCAATTGAAACATCCCAATGAAGCTTCTGAGAATGCTTCTGTCTAGAGTTTATATGAAGACAATCTCGTTTCCAACGAAATCCTCAAAGCTATCCAAATATCCTCTTGCAGATTTTACAAAAAGAGTGTTTCAAAACTGCTCTATCAAAAGAAAGCTTCAACACTGTTAGTTGAGGGCGCACATCACAAATAAGATTCTGAGAATGCTTCTGTCTAGTTTTCAGGGGAAGATATTTCCTTTTTCACCATAGGCCTGAAAGCGCTCCAAATGTCCACATCCAGATACTACAAATGAGTGTTTCAAACCTGCTCTATGAAAGGGAATCTTCAACTCTGTGACTTGAATGCAAACTTCACAAAGAAGTTTCTGGGAATGCTGCTGTCTGCTTTTTATATGTAATCCCGTTTCCAACGAAATCCTCAAAGCTAGACAAATATCCACTTGCAGATTCCACAAAAAGAGTGTTTCAAAACTGCTCTCTCAAAAGAAAAGTTCAACTCTGTTAGCTGAATAGATACATCATGAACAATTTTCTGACATTGCTTCTATCTAGCTTTTATTGGAAGATATTTCCTTTTTCACCGTAGTCCTGAGAGCGCTCCAAATGTCCACTTCCAGATACTACAAAAAGAGTGTTTCAAACCTGCTCTATGAAAGGGACTGTTCAACACTGTGACTTCAATTGAAACATCCCAATGAAGCTTCTGAGAATGCTACTGTCTAGAGTTTATATGAAGACAATCCCGTTTCCAACGAAATCCTCAAAGCTATCCAAATATCCTCTTGCAGATTTTACAAAAAGAGAGTTTCAAAACTGCTCTATCAAAAGAAAGCTTCAACACTGTTAGTTGAGGGCGCACATCACAAATAAGATTCTGAGAATGCTGCTGTCTGCTTTTTATATGTAATCCCGTTTCCAACGAAATCCTCAAAGCTAGACAAATATCCACTTACAGATTCCACAAAAAGAGTGTTTCAAAACTGCTCTATCAAAAGAAAGGTTCAACACTGTTAGTTGAGGGCGCACATCACAAATAAGTTTCTGAGAATGCTTCTGTCTAGTTTTCAGGGGAAGATATTTCCTTTTAAACCATATGCCTGAAAGCGCTCCAAATGTCCACATCCAGATACTACAAAAAGAGTGTTTCAAACCTGCTCTATGAAAGGGACTGTTCAACACTGTGACTTCAATTGAAACATCCCAATGAAGCTTCTGAGAATGCTTCTGTCTAGAGTTTATATGAAGACAATCCCGTTTCCAACGAAATCCTCAAAGCTATCGAAATATCCTCTTGCAGATATTACAAAAAGAGTGTTTCAAAACTGCTCTATCAAAAGAAAGGTTCAACACTGTTAGTTGAGGGCGCACATCACAAATAAGTTTCTGAGAATGCTTCTATCTAGCTTTTATTGGAAGATATTTCCTTTATCACCGTAGTCCTGAGAGCGCTCCAAATGTCCACTTCCAGATACTACAAAAAGAGTGTTTCAAACCTGCTCTATGAAAGGGAATGTTCAACTCTGTGACTTGAATGCAAACATCACAAAGAAGTTACTGGGAATGCTGCTGTCTGCTTTTTATATGTAATCCCGTTTCCAACGAAGTCCTCAAAGCTAGACAAATATCAACTTGCAGATTCCACAAAAAGAGTGTTTCAAAACTGCTCTCTCAAAAGAAAGGTTCAACTCTGTTAGCTGAGTAGATACATCATGAAAAAGTTTCTGACATTGCTTCTATCTAGCTTTTATTGGAAGATATTTCCTTTATCACCGTATTCCTGAGATCTCTCCAAATGTCCACTTCCAGATACTACAAAAAGAGTGTTTCAAACCTGCTCTATGAAAGGGACTGTTCAACACTGTGACTTCAATTGAAACATCCCAATGAAGCTTCTGAGAATGCTTCTGTCTAGTTTTCAGGGGAAGATATTTCCTTTTTCACCATAGGCCTGAAAGCGCTCCAAATGTCCACATCCAGATACTACAAAAAGAGTGTTTCAAACCTGCTCTATGAAAGGGAATGTTCAACTCTGTGACTTGAATGCAAACATCACAAAGAAGATTCAGGGAATGCTGCTGTCTGCTTTGTATATGTAATCCTGTTTCCAACGAAATCCTCAAAGCTAGACAAATATCCACTTGCAGATTCCACAAAAAGAGTGTTTCAAAACTGCTCTATCAAAAGAAAGCTTCAACACTGTTAGTTGAGGGCGCACATCACAAATAAGTTTCTGAGAATGCTTCTGTCTAGTTTTCAGGGGAAGATATTTCCTTTTTCACCATAGGCCTGAAAGCGCTCCAAATGTCCACATCCAGATACTACAAAAAGAGTGTTTCAAACCTGCTCTATGAAAGGGACTGTTCAACACTGTGACTTCAATTGAAACATCCCAATGAAGCTTCTGAGAATGCTTCTGTCTAGAGTTTATATGAAGACAATCCCGTTTCCAACGAAATCCTCAAAGCTATCCAAATATCCTCTTGCAGATTTTACAAAAAGAGTGTTTCAAAACTGCTCTATCAAAAGAAAGCTTCAACACTGTTAGTTGAGGGCGCACATCACAAATAAGTTTCTGAGAATGCTTCTGTCTAGTTTTCAGGGGAAGATATTTCCTTTTTCACCAAAGGCCAGAAAGCGCTCCAAATGTCCACATCCAGATACTACAAAAAGAGTGTTTCCAACCTGCTCTATGAAAGGGAATGTTCAACTCTGTGACTTGAATGCAAACGTCACAAAGAAGTTACTGGGAATGCTGCTGTCTGCTTTTTATATGTAATCCCGTTTCCAACGAAATCCTCAAAGCTAGACAAATATCCACTTGCAGATTCCACAAAAAGAGTGTTTCAAAACTGCTCTCTCAAATGAAGGTTCAACTCTGTTAGCTGAGTAGATACATCATGAAAAAGTTTCTGACATTGGTTCTATCTAGCTTTTATTGGAAGATATTTCCTTTTTCAACGTAGTCCTGAGAACGCTCCAAATGTCCACTTCCAGATGCTACAAAAAGAGTTTTTCAAACCTGCTCTATGAAAGGGACTCTTCAACACTGTGACTTCAATTGAAACATCCCAATGAAGCTTCTGAGAATGCTGCTGTCTGCTTTGTATAATTAATCCCGTTTCCAACGAAATCCTCAAAGCTATCCAAATATCCTCTTGCAGATATTACAAAAAGAGTGTTTCAAAACTGCTCTATCAAAAGAAAGCTTCAACACTGTTAGTTGAGGGCGCACATCACAAATAAGTTTCTGAGAATGCTGCTGTCTGCTTTTTATATGTAATCCCGTTTCCAACGAAATCCTCAAAGCTAGACAAATATCCACTTGCAGATTCCACAAAAAGAGTGTTTCAAAACTGCTCTATCAAAAGAAAGCTTCAACACTGTTAGTTGAGGGCGCACATCACAAATAAGTTTCTGAGAATGCTTCTGTCTAGTTTTCAGGGGAAGATATTTCCTTTTAAACCATAGGCCTGAAAGCGCTCCAAATGTCCACATCCAGATACTACAAAAAGAGTGTTTGAAACCTGCTCTATGAAAGGGACTGTTCAACACTGTGACTTCAATTGAAACATCCCAATGAAGCTTCTGAGAATGCTTCTGTCTAGAGTTTATATGAAGACAATCCCGTTTCCACCGAAATCCTCAAAGCTATCCAAATATCCTCTTGCAGATATTACAAAAAGAGTGTTTCAAAACTGCTCTATCAAAAGAAAGGTTCAACACTGTTAGTTGAGGGCGCACATTACAAATAAGTTTCTGAGAATGCTTCTGTCTAGTTTTCAGGGGAAGATATTTCCTTTTTCACCATAGGCCTGAAAGCGCTCCAAATGTCCACATCCAGATACTACAAAAAGAGTGTTTCAAACCTGCTGTATGAAAGGGAATGTTCAACTCTGTGACTTGAATGCAAACATCACAAAGAAGTTACTGGGAATGCTGCTGTCTGCTTTTTATATGTAATCCCATTTCCAACGAAATCCTCAAAGCTAGACAAATATCCACTTGCAGATTCCACAAAAAGAGTGTTTCAAAACTGCTCTGTCAAAAGAAAGGTTCAACTCTGTTAGCTGAGTAGATACATCATGAAAAAGTTTCTGACATTGCTTCTATCTAGCTTTTATTGGAAGATATTACCTTTTTCACCGTAGTCCTGAGAGCGCTCAAAATGTCCACTTCCAGATACTACAAAAAGAGTGTTTCAAACCTGCTATATGAAAGGGACTGTTCAACACTGTGACTTCAATTGAAACATCCCAATGAAGCTTCTGAGAATGCTGCTGTCTGCTTTGTATAATTAATCCCGTTTCCAACGAAATCCTCAAAGCTATCCAAATATCCTCTTGCAGATATTACAAAAAGAGTGTTTCAAAACTGCTCTATCAAAAGAAAGCTTCAACACTGTTAGTTGAGGGCGCACATCACAAATAAGTTTCTGAGAATGCTGCTGTCTGCTTTTTATATGTAATCCCGTTTCCAACGAAATCCTCAAAGCTAGACAAATATCCACTTGCAGATTCCACAAAAAGAGTGTTTCAAAACTGCTCTATCAAAAGAATGCTTCAACACTGTTAGTTGAGGGCGCACATCACAAATAAGTTTCTGAGAATGCTTCTGTCTAGTTTTCAGGGGAAGATATTTCCTTTTAAACCATAGGCCTGAAAGCGCTCCAAATGTCCACATCCAGATACTACAAAAAGAGTGTTTCAAACCTGCTCTATGAAAGGGACTGTTCAACACTGTGACTTCAATTGAAACATCCCAATGACGCTTCTGAGAATGCTTCTGTCTAGAGTTTATATGAAGACAATCCCGTTTCCAACGAAATCCTCAAAGCTATCCAAATATCCTCTTGCAGATTTTACAAAAAGAGTGTTTCAAAACTGCTCTATCAAAAGAAAGCTTCAACACTGTTAGTTGAGGGCGCACATCACAAATAAGATTCTGAGAATGCTTCTGTCTAGTTTTCAGGGGAAGATATTTCCTTTTTCACCTTATGCCTGAAAGCGCTGCAAATGTCCACATCCAGATACTACAAAAAGAGTGTTTCAAACCTGCTCTATGAAACGGAATGTTCAACTCTGTGACTTGAATGCAAACATCACAAAGAAGTTTCTGGGAATGCTGCTGTCTGCTTTTTATATGTAATCCCGTTTCCAACGAAATCCTCAAAGCTAGACAAATATCCACTTGCAGATTCCACAAAAAGAGTGTTTCAAAACTGCTCTCTCAAAGGAAAGGTTCACCTCTGTTAGCTGAGTAGATACATCATGAAAAAGTTTCTGACATTGCTTCTATGTAGCTTTTATTGGAAGATATTTAATTTTTCACCATAGTCCTGAGAGCCCTCCAAATGTCCACTTCCAGATACTACAAAAAGTGTGTTTCAAACCTGTTCTATGAAAGGGACTGTTCAACACTGTGACTTCAATTGAAACATCCCAATGAAGCTTCTGAGAATGCTGCTGTCTGCTTTGTATAATTAATCCCGTTTCCAACGAAATCCTCAAAGCTATCCAAATATCCTCTTGCAGATATTACAAAAAGAGTGTTTCAAAACTGCTCTATCAAAAGAAAGCTTCAACACTGTTAGTTGAGGGCGCACATCACAAATAAGTTTCTGAGAATGCTGCTGTCTGCTTTTTATATGTAATCCCGTTTCCAACGAAATCCTCAAAGCTAGACAAATATCCACTTGCAGATTCCACAAAAAGAGTGTTTCAAAACTGCTCTATCAAAAGAAAGCTTCAACACTGTTAGTTGAGGGCGCACATCACAAATAAGTTTCTGAGAATGCTTCTGTCTAGTTTTCAGGGGAAGATATTTCCTTTTAAACCATAGGCCTGAAAGCGCTCCAAATGTCCACATCCAGATACTACAAAAAGAGTGTTTCAAACCTGCTCTATGAAAGGGACTGTTCAACACTGTGACTTCAATTGAAACATCCCAATGACGCTTCTGAGAATGCTTCTGTCTAGAGTTTATTTGAAGACAATCCCGTTTCCAACGTAATCCTCAAAGCTATCAAAATATCCTCTTGCAGATTTTACGAAAAGAGTGTTTCAAAACTGCTCTATCAAAAGAAAGCTTCAACACTGTTAGTTGAGGGCGCACATCACAAATAAGATTCTGAGAATGCTTCTGTCTAGTTTTCAGGGGAAGATATTTCCTTTTTCACCATAGGCCTGAAAGCGCTCCAAATGTCCACATCCAGATACTACAAAAAGAGTGTTTCAAACCTGCTCTATGAAAGGGAATGTTCAACTCTGTGACTTGAATGCAAACATCACAAACAAGTTTCTGGGAATGCTGCTGTCTGCTTTTTATATGTAATCCCGTTTCCAACGAAATCCTCAAAGCTAGAGAAATATCCACTTGCAGTTTCCACAAAAAGAGTGTTTCAAAACTGCTCTCTCAAAAGAAAGGTTCAACTCTGTTAGCTGAGTAGATACATCATGAAAAAGTTTGCTGACATTGCTTCTATCTAGCTTTTATTGGAAGATATTTCCTTTTTCACTGTAGTCCTGAGAGCGCTCCAAATGTCCACTTCCAGATGCTACAAAAAGAGTGTTTCAAACCTGCTCTATGAAAGGGACTGTTCAAAACTGTGACTTCAATTGAAACATCCCAATGAAGCTTCTCAGAATGCTGCTGTCTGCTTTGTATAATTAATCCCGTTTCCAACGAAATCCTCAAAGCTATCCAAATATCCTCTTGCAGATATTACAAAAAGAGTGTTTCAAAACTGCTCTATCAAAAGAAAGCTTCAACACTGTTAGTTGAGGGCGCACATCACAAATAAGTTTCTGAGAATGCTGCTGTCTGCTTTTTATATGTAATCCCGTTTCCAACGAAATCCTCAAAGCTAGACAAATATCCACTTGCAGATTCCACAAAAAGAGTGTTTCAAAACTGCTCTATCAAAAGAAAGCTTCAACACTGTTAGTTGAGGGCGCACATCACAAATAAGTTTCTGAGAATGCTTCTGTCTAGTTTTCAGGGGAAGATATTTCCTTTTTCACCATAGGCCTGAAAGCGCTCCAAATGTCCACATCCGGATACTACAAAAAGAGTGTTTCAAACCTGCTCTATGAAAGGGACTGTTCAACACTGTGACTTCAATTGAAACATCCCAATGAAGCTTCTGAGAATACTTCTGTCTAGAGTTTATATGAAGAGAATCCCGTTTCCAACGAAATCCTCAAAGCTATCCAAATATCCTCTTGCAGATATTACAAAAAGAGTGTTTCAAAACTGCTCTATCAAAAGAAAGGTTCAACACTGTTAGTTGAGGGCGCACATCACAAATAAGTTTCTGAGAATGCTTCTTTCTAGTTTTCAGGGGAAGATATTTCCTTTTTCACCATAGGCCTGAAAGCGCTCCAAATGTCCACATCCAGATACTACAAAAAGAGTGTTTCAAACCTGCTCTATGAAAGGGAATGTTCAACTCTGTGACTTGAATGCAAGCATCACAAAGAAGTTACTGGGAATGCTGCTGTCTGCTTTTTCTATGTAATCCCGTTTCCAACGAAATCCTCAAAGCTAGACAAATATCCACTTGCAGATTCCACAAAACGAGTGTTCCAAAACTGCTCTCTCAAATGAAGGTTCAACTCTGTTAGCTGAGTAGATACATCATGAAAAAGTTTCTGACATTGCTTCTATCTAGCTTTTATTGGAAGATATTTCCTTTTTCACCGTAGTCCTGAGAACGCTCCAAATGTCCACTTCCAGATACTACAAAAAGAGTGTTTCAAACCTGCTCTATGAAAGGGACTGTTCAACACTGTGACTTCAATTGAAACATCCCAATGAAGCTTCTGAGAATGCTTCTGTCTAGAGTTTATATGAAGACAATCCCGTTTCCAACGAAATCCTCAAAGCTATCCAAATATCCTCTTGCAGATATTACAAAAAGAGTGTTTCAAAACTGCTCTATCAAAAGAAAGGTTCAACACTGTTAGTTGAGGGCGCACATCACAAATAAGTTTACTGAGAATGCTGCTGTCTGCTTTTTATATGTAATCCCGTTTCCAACGAAATCCTCAAAGCTATCTAAATATCCTCTTGCAGATATTACAAAAAGAGTGTTTCAAAACTGCTCTATCAAAAGAAAGCTTCCACACTGTTAGTTGAGGGCGCACATCACAAATAAGTTTCTGAGAATGCTTCTATGTAGCTTTTATTGGAAGATATTTCCTTTTTCACCGCTGTCCTGAGAGCGCTCCAAATGTCCACTTCCAGATACTACAAAAAGAGTGTTTCAAACCTGTTCTATGAAAGGAACTGTTCAACACTGTGACTTCAATTGAAACATCCCAATGAAGCTTCTGAGAATGCTTCTGTCTAGAGTTTATATGAAGACAATCCCGTTTCCAACGAAATCCTCAAAGCTATCCAAATATCCTCTTGCAGATTTTACAAAAAGAGTGTTTCAAAACTGCTCTATCAAAAGAAAGCTTCAACACTGGTTAGTTGAGGGCGCACATCACAAATAAGTTTCTGAGAATGCTTCTGTCTGGTTTCTTTGGGAAGATATTTCCTTTTTCAACACAAGCCTGAATGCGCTCCAAATGGACACTTCCAGATATGACAAAAGGCGTGTTTCCAACCTGCTCTAGGATACGGAACTTTGAACTCTGTGACTTGAATGCAAACATCACAAAGAAGTTTCTCACAATGCTGCTGTCTGCTTTTTATAAGTATTCCCGTTTCCAACGAAATCCTCAAGGCCAGCCAAATATTCACTTGCAGATTCCACAAAAAGAGTGTTTCAAAACTGCTCTCTCAAAAGAAAGGTTCAACTCTGTTAGCTGAGTAGATACATCATGAAAAAGTTTCTGACATTGCTTCTATCTAGCTTTTATTGGAAGATATTTCCTTTTTCACCGCAGTCCTGAGAGCGCTCCAAATGTCCACTTCCAGATACTACAAAAAGAGTGTTTCAAACCTGCTCTATGAAAGGGACTGTTCAACACTGTGACCTCAACTGAAACATCCCAATGAAGCTTCTGAGAATGCTTCTTTCTAGAGTTTATATGAAGACAATCCCGTTTCCAACGAAATCCTCAAAGCTATCCAAATATTCTCTTGCAGATATTACAAAAAGAGTGTTTCAAAACTGCTCTATCAAAATAAAGCTTCAACACTGTTAGTTGAGGGCGCACATCACAAATAAGTTTCTGAGAATGCTGCTGTCTGCTTTTTATATGTAATCCCGTTTCCAACGAAATCCTCAAAGCTATCCAAATATCCTCTTGCAGATTTTACGAAAAGAGTGTTTCAAAACTGCTCTATCAAAAGAAAGCTTCAACACTGTTAGTTGAGGGCGCACATCACAAATAAGATTCTGAGAATGCTTCTGTCTAGTTTTCAGGGGAAGATATTTCCTTTTTCACCATAGGCCTGAAAGCGCTCCAAATGTCCACATCCAGATACTACAAAAAGAGTGTTTCAAACCTGCTCTATGAAAGGGACTGTTCAACACTGTGACTTCAATTGAAACATCCCAATGAAGCTTCTGAGAATGCTTCTTTCTAGAGTTTATATGAAGACAATCCCGTTTCCAACGAAATCCTCAAAGCTATCCAAATATTCTCTTGCAGATATTACAAAAAGAGTGTTTCAAAACTGCTCTATCAAAATAAAGCTTCAACACTGTTAGTTGAGGGCGCACATCACAAATAAGTTTCTGAGAATGCTTCTGTCTAGTTTTCAGGGGAAGATATTTCCTTTTTCACCTTAGGCCTGAAAGCGCTGGAAATGTCCACATCCAGATACTACAAAAAGAGTGTTTCAAACCTGCTCTATGAAAGGGAATGTTCAACTCTGTGACTTGAATGCAAACATCACAAAGAAGTTTCTGGGAATGCTGCTGTCTGCTTTTTATATGTAATCCCGTTTCCAACGAAATCCTCAAAGCTAGACAAATATCCACTTGCAGATTCCACAAAACGAGTGTTTCAAAACTGCTCTCTCAAAGGAAGGTTCAACTCTGTTAGCTGAGTAGATACATCATGAAAAAGTTTCTGACATTGCTAAAGGATATGAACTCATCATTTTTTAGGGCTGCATCATATTCCATGGTGTATATGTGCCCCATTTTTCTTAATCCCAGTCTATCATTGTTGGACATTTGGGTTGGTTCCAAGTCTTTGCTATTGTGAATAGTGCCGCAATAAACATACGTGTGCATGTGTCTTTATAGCAGCATGATTTATAGACCTTTGGGTATATACCCAGTAATGGGATGGCTGGGTCAAATGGTATTTCCAGTTCTAGATCCCTGAGGAATCGCCACACTGACTTCCACAATGGTTGAACTAGTTTAAAGTCCCACCAACAGTGTAAAAGTGTTCCTATTTCTCCGCATCCTCTCCAGCACCTTTTTTGTAGTATCTGGAAGTGGACATTTGGAGAGTTCTCAGGAATACGGTGAAAAAGGAAATATCTTCCAATAAAAGCTAGATAGA